>NC_000009.12:30313030-30464545 GCF_000001405.40 Homo sapiens
TCCTGGTACCAATTTTCTATATTAGTTTGTTCTTGCATTGCTATAAAGAAATACCTGAGACGTGGTAATTTATAAAGAAAAGACGTTTAATTGGCTCATGGTTTTACAGGGTGTACAAGCATGGCACCAGCCTCTTCTTGGCTTCTGGGAGGCCTCAGGAAGCTTTTACTCATGGCAGAAGGCAAAGCTGGAGTAGTCACGTCCCACGGCAAAAGCAGGAGCAAGAGAGGAGTTGGGAGGAAGCCACACACTCTTAAATAACCAGATCTTGTGAGAACTCACTTAATATCTCAAGCGCAGCATAAAGCCATGAGGGATCCAACCCCATAACTCAAACATCTCCCACCAGGCTCTAGTTCTAACACTGGGGAGTATAATTTAACATGAGGTTTTATGGGGACACATTTTCAAACTATGTTAATGTCAATTATCCATGCACCTATTTAATAAGTTCTTTTTTAGTTTTCTTCAAGCTAATACTATGAATAAGAAGTCATCACAGTTCAACACCTAAGGTTATATTTTTATGACAACAGAGATGATGAATTAGAAACCCTTCCTTATTTGATATATAGTTATTTGAGAAAGAATATAGCAAATAAAAAATGCATATTATTTTAAACTTTGTCCCTTTGTAACTAATGCTTGGGCAGCCAAGAATGGGAGCCTATTATTTTGAGCTACATCAATACTACAGATCACCTAGATAATGTGCCAAAATTAAAAGTCAAGGAGAACAAGCAAGAGGGCTTTGTTGAGTAGTTAAGTTCTTTCATACCCCTCACATATACTAGATGTATTTACAGTAGTATCATGATCAGGGCTTTATACTAGAACAGGTTCTGCTTGATCCATGAAGTCCTAATTGCTTCAGCCCACTGCAGCTCTTAATTTCTTCCGAAAAATTTCAATCTGTCCATGTACTTCTCCAACAAGTATTCTGATTGCAAATTAAGGCCAGGAGAAAAGAAAAAGTTTAAAAAAATCAAATGTCTGCAAATGTGAGAAAGAAATGTACTTATAAATAATGACCAAATAATTAATACAGCACTAAATAGGCCAAAGGGTATAGTTTACAATATTGACCAATTATTATTTAAATAGTAGATACTGAAAATGGCCAGATGAAATTATATTCTTTAGAAGATAGCTTCACTCTTAGATTTCCTGCAAGTATAATGCACGTTGATTAAGGTTTGGGATTAACCAAAATACCTTTCCCAGTATGTTTTCTTTGAGATCTAATGTTGGCCATGTTGGAGTTATTATACACAATTTAATCAGTATATTTCTGCTAATGTGGTGACATTAGGGACAAGGAACAAGCTCGTGTACCAGACTTTGCTCTGGGTTTGGAAATATGGAGAAAATTAGGCAATTAACTTAGATTATTGATTTCAAATCTTTCTTATTTTCTACTGCATGTGTTTAATGTTATAAATGTCCATCTATGAAGAGTTTTTGTTGCATCTTACACATTTTAAGTTGTATTTTTATTTAGTTTGAAATGTTTTTAAATTTTGAGATTTTTTAATCCAGGTGTTATTTATATGTGTTTTGTATAATTCCCAAATAGTTTTAAATTTTACAGTTATGTTTCAGTTTTTCATTCCTGGCTTAATTCCACTGTGGTCTGAGAACATATATTGCATGATTCCAATTCTTTTGACTTTGTTGTGTTTTATATTCTGGAATATGATCTTTCTCGGTAAATGTCCCATGAGAGTTTGAGAAGTATGTGTATTCTGCTGTTGATGATTGGAAGATAATTTTATAAATGTCGATTAGAACACATTGAGTAATAGTTCTGTTCAGGTCAACTATATACTTCCTTATTTTTGACTTACTCGATGAAAAAATTACTGAGGTGGGTGGGTTTGAATCTTCAACTATAATTTTATGTTTTTTTCTCTTTGTTTGTCAATTTTTGCCCTTAATTATTTTGATGCTGTTAAGAGTATATACACTTAAGATTCTAATGCCTTTGTGAAGAACTGACTTATCATTATTTACCTCTTTTTTATTGCTGATAATTTCTTATGAAGACTGAATTGTCTGAAATTATTATTATTTCAGTTTTGTTTTGATAATTGTTGGCATGGCATGTCTTACTTTAACCTTTAATTTTGATCTGGCAGAGTCTTTATAAATAGTTTGAGTTTCTTGTTAGACCACATGTAGTTGGAAATTGTTATTTTTTAACATTCATTATGGAAAACTTTCTCTTTTAATTGGTGTATTTAAATAATTTGCATTTAAAGTAATACTAAATTTGATTTAAAATCTACCATATTTGTAACATTTTTCTATTTATTGCTTGAGGTTTTCTGCCTTCTCTTATTTCAATTGATCATTTTTATGATTATATTTTATCTCTTCGCTAAGCAGATCAATTATGTCATTTAACAAAAAGCAGTTGATCTAGAATTTATAATATATATTTATAACTAATCTATGACCACCTCTAAATAATACTATTATGCTTCAAATTGAGTATTACCAATTATTTTCTTCTTTTTTTTGTGGTATTGATACCAGTTAACTCACTTTTTCATATGCTATACTAGCCCAATACATTGTTACTCTTACTAATTTAGATTAATATATTTTGTCTAAAGTCAATTTTTTAAAGTCAAATATATTTTACCTTCACTCACTCATTTTCCAGTGCCCTTCTTTTCTTTATGTAGATTCATATTTCTCTCTCATCTATTTTATCTCTGTCTAAATAACTTCTTTTGACTTTCCTGGAAGGGCAAATGTTTTGGCAATGGATTCACTCAGTTTTTTTGTTGTTGTTTAGTTGTTGAGGAAGATTTTTATTTCTCTTTCAATTCTGAAGGTTAATTTCACTGCCTATAGAATTATAGATTGGCAGTTTTGTTTCCTGTTATTCTCTTTCAACACTTCAAATATTTTACTACACCTTCCTCTTGCTTTCATAATCTTTCATGTAATTTTGATGAAAAGCCTAACATATATCCTATCCTTGCTCCTCTATAGATGTGGTTCCCTGTGTATCCATCAACCCCCAGCTTCCTTTAGGTTTTTGTCTTTATGTTGATTCATTGTAACTTAAATTTTATCTCATGACTAGATTTAGTTTTTTTGGTGTTTATATTGTTTTGTATTTTCTGAGCTTCTTGGATCTGTGGTTTGATATCTGTCATTAATTTTGGAAAGTTCTCAGTCATATAACTGATAATGATATTGCAAAGATGACATTTTTATGTATATTTCTTCTTTTTCTGATATTTCAATTAGGCGTGTGTCACATTTTTTGAAATAGACCCACAATTTTTGGGTGTTCCATTTATTTTTTGAAGTTTCTATTAATCTGTCTTCAAAAATTCACTGTTTGTTTCCTCAGCCATGTTCCCTCTACTAATTAATCCATCAATGACATTATTATGTTTGAAGATTTTTGATTTTCAGCATTTTCTTGTACTCCTTAGCATTTTTATTCTTTAGCTTATATACCCATTTGTCACTGCATATAATCTATTTCTTCCATTAGAGCTCCTAACATAATAATCATAATTATTTTACATTTACTGTTTGATAATTCCAACATATGTGTCATATCTAAGTCTGGTTCTGATGCTTGTTTTGTCTCTTTAGACTGGTGTTGTTTTCTGACTTTTAGCATATCTTGTTGTTATTTTAAAAAACTGGACATGTTGCATTCAATAATAATAATTGAGGAAAATAGGCTTTTCTACTTAGGGGATTTATTTGTTGACCTGACTAGGAGTTAAACTTAGTTTAATAGTTGCTGTAGTTATGGATGAAAGAGGCTTAAAATTCCTTTGGTGTCCTTGTTTTTGTCTATCTATTGTGTTTGAGCTCCTCTAAATACTCCTTTGCAGAGAGTGTCTATAATCTTTCAGTCCTTTCAGTTGTGATCCCTATTACAGTTAAGGGACACAACAATGTTTCAGTCAATGATGGACCACATATGTGACAATGGTTTCATAAGATTATAACAAAGCTGAAAAATTTCCATCACCTAGTGATACTGTAGCCATTATAACATAATAGTGGAATGCATTACTTACACATTTGTGGTGATGCTGGTGTAAACCTACTACAGTCATATAAAAGTCTAACATATACAATTATGTACAGTACGTAATACTTGATAATAATAATAAATGACTGTTTCTGGTTTATGTATTCACTATACTATTAATTATTATTTTACAGTATACTTATACACACACACACATATATATATAAATTACTGTAAAATAGTATGCTGTTACAGCAGCAGAAATATCATACATCTTGTGTTCACATGGTTTCTTGATTGCATTATTTGTCTTGTGCTTGATTTAATTTTCTGCTTATTTATCATCGTTCCTATGCATACAGAATTTACTGCTAATGTTGCTGGTAAGTGGTCATGGCAAGTGATTAATCTGAAAATACAATTAAAAGTGATTACAGACTATGAAGGTAGAAAACCAGTGAAGATTTCCCTGCTCACTCATCAGGCATGTCCCATTCCATTACAGGTGCTATCTTGAAGAACGAGAAAAAAGTAATGGAAGCTATTAAAGAATTTGCTTCATTGAATGCAACAAGACTAAGAAAATTTTGAGAAGGGCCCATGTTAGACATAGAGAAGCATATAATGACGTGTGTTAAAGTCCAGACACAGAGGCATATCCCTTTCAGCACAATGATGATTAGTGTCAAAGCAAAAATTTGTTTGTAATATTGAAAGAAAGGCAGGAGCTGACTAAGATGTTAAATTTACTGCTAGATCTGGGTAGTTTAAATGATTTTAGAATTGTTATTCATCACATAATGTGAAAGTGAGTGGTGAGCCTGTGAGTGCAGATATGAAGAGAGTTGAATAATTTTTGGAAACTCTAGACAAATTGATTGTGGGGGAAAATTACTTGCTAGAGGGAATCTTTAATATGGACAAAACCTCCCTATTCTGCAAGCAGATGCCTGAAAGGACTTTAATCTACAAAGAAGCCAAGTCAATGTCAAGTTTCGCGTCTTTTAGGGCCAGGATAACAGTTTTCTGATGGCAATGTTGCAGGCTAAAAATTGAAACCTTTGTGATATGGCACAGTGAAAATCCCATGGCCACTGGACATATTCATGAGCATACACTGGCAGAGCATAGTGGCTCACACCTGTAATCCCAATACTTTGGGATGCTGTGGTAGGAAGATTGCTTGAGGCTAGGAGTTGGAAACCACCTTGAAATGTACAGCAAGATCCTGTCTCTACTAAACAAATAAATTAGCTGGGTGCAGTAGTATGCACCTATAATACTAGCTACTCAGAAGGCCAAGGTGGGAGGATCACTTGAGGCCAGGAGTTCAAGGTTGAAATGAGCTATGATCACACCACCACATTCCAGCCTAGGCAAGAGAAGGAGACTGTCTCAAAATTCTGTTTGTTTTTAAATTTCTTTCTTGCTTTTTTTTTCTTTTTTTTTCTGAGATAGGGTCTTGCTCTGTCACCCAGGCTGAAGTGCAGTGGCAAATTCATGGCTCATTGCAGCCTCGACCTCCCAGGCTCGAGCTATCTCCTACCTCAGTCTTCTGAGTGGTTAGGACCATAGGTACACACCACCAAGTCCAGCTAATTTAATTTTTCTTTTTTTGTAGAAATGAGGTTTTCCTATGTTGCCCAAGTGGGTCTCAAACTCCTGAGCTTGAGTAGTTCTCTTGCCTCAGCCCAAAGTGCTAGAATTACAGACCTGGCTACTGTGCCCAGTCAAGCAATTAAAACAAACAAACAAACAAACAAACAAACAAAGAAGCACACACTGCCAGTGACTACAGGAGCAATATAAAAAGTCATAGATGACCCTTGCTCTTTGAATAACCCCCTCCCCCGGAATTTCCATGTCAGAGAAAAATACTGTTTGGACAATAGCACACTTTTCAAAATTTTGCTTTATTATTATTCCTAGTGCTTCCTCACATTATCCTTTAATTGGTGATCTTCATTCCAATATCAGAGTGAGGTTTCTCCCTCCAACCACCACCTCTTTGATTCAATCTATGGATCAAGAGTTATAATAGCTTTTAAGGACTGCTACCTGAAAATGACCTTTGCCTAGGGTATTGTGACTGAGAAAGACACTGAGAAGGCATTGTTGCAATGAAAGTATTACAACATTTATGACTGCATCAAGAACCTTGCTTGGTCTTGGGGTGATATCCCCAAGGAGTGTGTGAATGGCATCTGAAGGAAGACACTCAAGGCGTTCATTCATGATGTCAAAGCATTTATTAAAATCCTAATGATGTATATCTCAGAACATATTCCTGTCATTAAGCAAGGCATGACTATATATTAGGGTCTTGTTGATGTGGTGATAGGTGGAAAGGAGGGGCCTGTGTTTGTAGCCTATGACCTGTAAAAGCGTTTCTTCCTGCATAGCTTGCCTCCCTTCCTCAGTTAGTTGAGAAATGCTTACTAGAGGGGGCTACAGTAAGTGAAATGTTGTTTCCCCACTACTCTAGGACAAGACTCTCCTAAACTCTTTCCCCTAAAGGAGTAAGCCTTTGTAATGGAGAAGAATCTGAAGCTCTGGGGTGTATTTCATGAGGATTACTCTTCCCTGGTCATTGTCAGTCAGAAGTTTTCTTTCTTGGATCTCTACTGTGAGATGCTAGTGAGATTCCTCAGTATAGTTTATACCCCTTTGTTAGGTGTGAGTTTGTTCCCTCTGAAACTCATGCTGAAATTTGATTTCCAATATGGCAGTGTTGGAGTTGAGGCCTAGCAGGAAATCCTTGGGTCATTCGGGCACCACCCTCATTAATAGATTAATGCCTTCTCACTGGAGTGAGTGAATTCTCACTCTGGCAGGAATAAATTCATTCCTGACAGCAAGTTGTTTCATGTGAGCCCAGCCTCCCAGTCTCTTTCACACGCCCTTGCACCTTTCTACTTCTCTGCCATATTGTGTTACTGCGTGGGACCCTTAGTGGAAGCTGAGCAGATACCTATCCCATGTTCTTGGGCTTTCCAGCCACTAACGTTATGAGCCAAATAAACCTCTCTTTTGTAAAAGTAAATTACTGAGCTTCAGGTTTTAGCAACATAAAACTGACTAACTCCTCCCCACCCATGACTGCAGCCCCCAGGAATTTTCCACTCTTACTTTCTCATTCTCCCACTGGTCCATGCTCAGCTTCCTGCAATTTGTCATTACCATTTAATTTTTCTACCAATTTATTTTTCCAACAGCTTTTACTCCAGGTAGGAATATCTTAGCTATGAGTTTAAATTTGCCTTTCTCTCCAGATTTGAGGGTAGCATTTTGCCTTGTAAATTCAGTTATTTAAAGGTTCCCACAAAATTCCTTGATTTTCAGTTTGTCCACTTCTTTATGGTGTAAGGATGGGAATGACAACTTTGAAGCTCTACATTTTGGAGCTGAAACCAAAAGTCTCACTAATTTACCTCTGAAGGTCAAGAAATCCCTAATTAAGTAGGTGTCATTTAATTTGAAACCTTTATGACAAGGCAGTACTGACCTTGTGAGATTAAAGGTGAAGAATTTTCCATGCAAAGCACATATTATACCGAAGGCCTCTGAGAAGGAAGGGCTCAGCAAGTTTAGGTTTAGTGTGGCTGAGAAATAAAAATGTGAGTAGGAGAGTGTTAAAGAATGAAATAAATGATGCAGGCAGAGACCAGAAAAGATAGGTTACTCTATGTCAAGATAAAAAATAAAATTGGCTTCTAAATTTATTGGAAAGATACTGAAAATCTTATGCAGGAGAATGACATAGTCTTATTTACCTTTTAAAAATGGCTCTGGCTATTTTGTGGGATAACAATTGTACTGAGGTAACAGTAGTTGAAGGAAAACTAATTGGAGTCTACTGAATAACCTAAGATGCAATTTAACTATAGTTGTAGCAGTGAAGAAGAAAAGGAAATAGATTAGGAATTTATTTTAGAGATAGAATAAAAAAAACTTACTGATGTAATTGATTGGGAAGAGTACATAAAAGTGGAAGCTAACTTATGAACGTTATTACAGAAGAAAACCTTAGGTAACTCCCAGGTAAATTAATTTATTCCCACATGAATCAAATAAACTAACAAACAAAAAGATCTCTAAAAATGCCTAGGTAATACATATAGCATACTCACTACCAAAAATTAAATTATCTTGAGTTTTAGACACTTTAATGATCACAACAGTCTGATTCACCCACTTATTTCTACCTGAAGCTTATCTACATATGATATTTCCTTTCCACTTTAGCTTATAGGAAAATCTAAAAGCCAGGCTATGGTTTATTTAACAGATTGCCAGTGTTAGATGATCCTATCATAAATCACATGTAGGAGCTCTTTTTTGCTAAAATTAAGCTGAAAATAAGACAAAGGCTCAACAAGATAACTCTGTTTAATTTGGCATTGTAATAATTGCTCAGCAAGAAGAGAAAACCTACAGTATAGCATGAGAAAACTGTCTTTAAAATACATCTGAGTGAAGCTAGCCAATCAGTTTTTAAAGAAAAAAACATATCCATATCCTAGTGCAAATTCAAATGTTGTAATAAATGTGTATGCAAAAGTAGAAGTTTAAGATATATAATTGCAATGCTATTTTAAAATATCTTTCCATAAATTTTACTAATTCTTGATTCTTATCTTATGGTTTGACCCCGCTATTATAGCATTTTAAGTGAAAAATACTGGCATAATTGTATTAATGTAGAAACTTCTAGAAATAGTCCTTAGTTTGATAAATAAAAATAGTGATTCTTTAGGATTGATAAAGGGCTATTGATTGGTTTACAAATTATCCATGTACCTGTGAAATTTATTATTTTTATTTGAACAGAATTAAAACTTTAAAAAAATAAGAATTAATATTTTAGTTATAAAAATAGCTACTATGTATAGTATGCTATTGGCCAGACACGTTCTTAACTATTTTACAGGAATTATCTAATTAAAATCTAAATTATGTATGGAATTTTTTATTATCCTCATTTTACAAATGGAAAACTCGACTACCAACAGGTTAGGTTACATGTATATAGTCACAATGCCAGTAATTGTGAGACCCACAATTAAAACCAAGATAATTTGCCTCCATGATCTGTGCTCGTAATCACCTGCTTTTCTGCCTTCTTGTTACACAGTACTGTCTTTTCTGCTGTTCTGTACTAGACATCATTATACTATTCTTCACAAAAGCATTGATAAATGGCACTCACTTTTGGTACAACTTTTAAATTAAATCAGAACAAGGAGGATATATTTTCACTTATTATTCACCTGTTTCTTTGATTACCTATTATTATGCAACCAAAAATTTTTTAGCAGCTCTCAGGCATTATAATAGGATGTGAGAACACTGAGATTAAAGATAAAGTCACTGTCCTCAAGTATTTTAAAGTTGATGAGAAGTCTACAAAAATTTGCATAAACTTTGTAAAATTTTAAGATGATTAAGGGGCAGAAAATTCAATAAGGGAACAACACAAAATATTAAGACTTAGAATGAAGGACATAGAGTGTGACAGAAGTAAATTTCACCACTCATACGATTAGAGGAATGATAAGAAAGATTTCAGTGTTCTTTCTTTACTTTCTTCTGAGAGGAATTTCAACGTCTTGTGGCCCTTGGATTAGCAGCATCTGTATCACCTGGAAGTTTGTTATAAATGTGCAATTTGGACCCCAGCCCAGATCTACAGAGTCAGAACTTGCATTTTTAACAAGAGCCCAGGAAAATTTGTATGTTTTTTACAGTTTGAAAAGCAACATCACAGAGACATAGAACCTAATTTCTATGTTTTCAGAGCTTCACCTGCATTATATTTGCTTATTAAAACTCCTCTTTGTATTCATTCCTGTCGTTAATATTTCTCTGGGATCCACAGTCACCGTAAATCCTGCTCAGGGAAATCCTGATACATCATGAGTGTAAATTATTAAGAGTCAGGACAGTTTTTACCAAGCATCTAGTCTAATTATGTTTGGCTTTAGTGGTCAGAAAATTTGGCAAGATGAGAAATAATAAAGAGGTTGTGTAGGAGAGATGTCAACTTCTAAATCAACAGCCCTTTGATAACATGTGATATTTGACTTGTTTCACTTACCTAATAAATTTATAGAAATAACAAAAGCTATCTGAATTCATCAGAAAGCCAACAGAAGAAGTAGAAACTCTCAATCCATTAATAATAGGGCTCAGAAAATTATACCCAACAAGTTATCATAGTGATGACAAATTTACAATTAATGTGAATATGCAGATTCTAGTACCCCAGGAATTTCATCCTTCAGTCCAAGATAATATGAAACAATTGGGCATATGTGAAATTATGCAATGAGTCACTTTAATTATTAGAGATGATAATTATAGAATGTAGGTTGTTATGCGATGAAAGGTACCAAGATTGAGACAATTTTTATGTGGGTAATACTTATAGTATACAAAATCTTGCAAAAGTTTATTATTAATACTATGAACTGTCCTTGGGTGGCTTTGATAGGAACAGCCATGTTATCTGCATGTTCAAGGTCAATAAAAACTATTTTCCAAATCAGTCTGGTTTTTACCATTACTGAATTCTTCTATAACCTTTGAACCAAGACAATAGCTTGAAAGGTAAAAACAACCAAACCTATTCAAGATATTTATTGAGAAACTAATCTCTACAGAAACAAACTAAAGTTATATCTATGACATCTAGTCCCTAGATTAGCTTCTTCTACCTCTCAGGCATTTTCATAAAAGACTCCATTCTAGAGCAATACAATAATTCCATTTAAACACTGTAGGTTTATTGGGGTTAAAAAGTCAAAAAGTTAGAGACAAAAGAGACGAAGCATGGTCATGGACTTGGGGTTTGTAAGAGAAGCAGGGGATATTAAGCTGTGGTGAGCAGACCCTCGTAAAAAATAGAGTTCATAAGGACTTTAGGTGTGAAAGTAGAGGGTCAAAAACAATTCCAGAAAGCCTCACTCCCCCACTAGAAATGAATATACAATTCTCCAGACTGACATATTAATAACTTAAAATTCAAATATGCAAAAACATATGCTTAGCATGTTTCATAGCTTACGGAATGTGTTCATGTAGATAAGTGCATTATTAATTTGGAGGAATAATAAATTATTAGCTGTGAACATAATTAGAGATTTATCACCACTTAGGAAGTTGTCAATATATTAGGAAGCCAAAGATTTTACTGTACAAGAGAACTTAAATTTAATTTCTCACCTGGCATTTTCAGAATATGAAACATTTTTCAACATTTCTCATTTTCTCCACCTACAAATTGAGGTAATGATAACTATTTTGTAAAGTAGGTATTAAAAATATAAAATAATTCAAAAGGGTTAATAAAGCCAAGCAAACTTTGTATGTAATGTCCTTTTTCAGTTGTTAATTATCATCTGCTAACAAAATTATCATAGTCTGAGGTACCGTGTGAACTTCCCCCTTTGATTACAATTAAATCCACCAGTTTCTTTTCCTATTCCATGTTGGTGGGGATATCTAGTATTCTTACTCTTTCATTTTGTTCCTTCCAAAATGACAATTGCTTTCCTTCAGCATCTAAGTGGCCATTCACCCTTGGGCCAATAAAATAATGTTCAGTAGAACATTTAGCCTCAGTAGCACTTTTAAAGAGTCTAAGGCATAGCCATCTGTCTGTGACGGAGAAAGTGGATTTATGCAAGAATTCTTACTACTTTCAGAGTCATGTCAGAAGGGGTTATTGATTTATTGTCGACAGAAACAAACTCATGTGGATAGCACCTGGAAACCCATTTCATCATCTTTAAATACAATTTTCAAAAAGAAATGTGCAATTGATACAGAGCTCACAGATTATAGTGTGATCTGCATATACTAACTTAAGACCACACTTTCCTAAATGCTGTCCTATTCATTAGTACCATAAATTCTTGCTGCATTACCTTTATTTAAACATATATTTTGTAATGTTCCAATCCATTATTAAAATATAATGACAAGTAGAACTTTTCATTTATCTAGAACTCACATCCATACATATACCTGAACATGCACACACACACATATGTACAGATATATATATATACACACATATATTCACACACAGACATGTACACTATTATACATGCGTACCCATATATAAAACAAAAGTGTATTTGTATGTTACTTGTACAATTAAATATATATTTTATAAAATTAGAGACAGGAAAAAATATAGAGGAATAAAGAAGGAAATTTTACTACAAAAAAAGGGCTTAGTGTCTTTTCTTTTTCCTAGCGTGAGGAATAAAGCCTTTAATTTTCAAAATTGGCTCAGAGTGTCTGTCTGTGAGCTAGTAAGAGTTGTCTGAGAGAATAGTTTCAGATGTCCTACATTGTGCTGAGTACCAAATAATATTTGCATTTAAAGCCCAATGGCCAATCCTCTGGCACTTTGCAAATAAAAAAGGGTATTGATGACATGCCTAGTGTACTCAGGTTGGTCATTTTACTGATAATGAATATTTGTGGTCCCTGAAAACAGATTTCTACTAAAGCACAACTTTCTACTAAAGTCAGCAGTATAACCTTTCATATGTGTTTCTTTATTATCTGTACTGTTGATAAAAACTTCTGTACTGCCTGATATTCAAACAAATGTCAGTCAATTCAACTGAGTAATAAATGTGCTTAAATATCTGCCATAAATGTTAACGTTTCTAGGCAGACTACGTGACAAATGTTAAGTACCTACCAAATGCGTGTTGAAATAAAGACATAATGATAACTACGATAGAGGGTGACTTCAGATAAGTGCCACAACTGTCATGTTTCAAATTTTTTTGTAATATACACAGTGCAGAGAATATTTTGATAATAATGATTTGTGAAAACTTGTTATGGAGAAAGAAGCCTAAGTATTCTAAATTTTATATAAAGATCAAGATTACAGAGAAAAAAATTTAAAAGATTCAATTACAGAGAGAACTAATGTAGCACAATAGCATTATTGCATGGTTAGAGAGTCTGCAGAACAGATAAAACAGAAAATTTCAAATAAAGAAGAATTAGCAATATCGATGAATGGCTGCTAATATTAGTCCCGTCACGTTCAAAAGGAGAAAAAAAAATCCTGGTCTCATGCCTTGCAATGAATCTCTTTTTCTAAAAGTCTCCTTGTTCAAGATCACATTTTCATTACTTATATTTTAAAGCCATTAATGGAGAAAGAAAAAATGGGTGCATCCCCCAAATGTTAAATATATAGCATTATAGAGTAAGTTAGCACAATTGAACAGAATTATCTCAAGGTCTGGGCTGAGAATATGAACAAAGGATAGGCTACCAATGCCCTGCCCCAATAAGTATCTTGAGGGCGGTAAGGATCTGCCTCTTTGAGTGTGTGTATATATTTTGTGCATACATGTTGTCAGGGAAGTGGGGAATGTGTGCAGAATGATCTAAGAGAAAAGGGATAAGGAGAGACAAGGGAATCTCTGCTATTGTATCTTGGGTCATGATAGATTGAAAACAAATATGTTTATATCATTTGATATATCATTTTACACTAAATTTAGTATAAAAGAAGCAAAAATACAAAGGACAATAGTTACTAAAAAAATTAAAGGACAGTTAACAGCACTGAAGAAAGCTCAATGTGTAAACTTACAGAAATTTTGAATACTATGACTTTCTACTGTAGATAACTAGAAGCTGGTGCAAAGTTTAAGTGTTTCTAGAGCAATTATATTTGTATCCCGGTCAACGTATTTAGATAATAAGACCAACAATTAATATTTCCATAGGCTTTGTATATGGCAGGTAGTATTCGAATATTTTTCTTTATACCAAGTAATTTAATCCTTTACCACAACGGTATATATTAAAGGGTAACCAAACACTTCAGGTGCTTAGGACAATAAGATTATAACTATTCTAAAGTTGAGCAACCAGAAAGTGGCAAAAGCATCTCTCCAACACAGCCTGGAGTGTTTCAAGTTCAAGCCATGTTGCTTCAGGTTTTTGCTGTTAATCATCATGCTTCACTATAATGATGTAATACTCTCTCTATTTCCCCACCAGTCCCACTACTGATAATAGCTTGAATAGACTGGATTTATACTTTTTGTGTATAGGCTTTTCCAAATGACTAAGGGAAATATTATGAAAGACACAAATATCATAAAACAGCATATATATATGTACCTGTCTACGCACACATATGTGCATATATATGTGTGTGTGTTTGTGTATATATATTGTGTGCATATATATATATGCATACACACATGCAGGATACACACGCACACATGCAAACATATGTCCTTCTAATTGAGGTAAACTTCATGTAACATAAAATTCACCATTCTAACAATTTTAAAGTGTTCAGTTCAATAGTTTTCAGTACATTCATAATATTGGTCAACTCTCATCGCCATCTAGTTGGAGAACATTTAATCATCTTAAGAAAGAAAACCCCACACCCATTAAGAAATCACTCCCCATCCCATCTCCCCCCATCCCATCTCCCCCCATCATCTGGCAACTACTAGTCTGTGTTCTGTCTCCATGTATTTACCTATTTTATGAATTTCATGTAAGTAGAATCATACAATAAATGATCTTTTGTGCCTGGTTCCTCTCACTGAGCATAATATTTTTAAGGTTCTTACATGTTTTAATGTGTGTCAGTACTTCATTCCTTTTATGGCTGAATAATATTTAATTTTACAAATATTTCATTTTAGAGATATACCCCATTTTTAATTGATTCATCAGTTGATGAACATTTGGGTTGTTTCTCTTTTGGCTATTGTGAATACTATTACTAATTACATTAATATTCAAAGAGTTTTTTGGCCACAAGTAATCAATCTTCAAGATATATATCCAGGGGTGAAATTGCACAATAATATTGCAATTCTATGTTTAACTTTTTGAGAAACTGCCTAACAGTTTTCTACAGTGTCTGCATTATTTTACATGCCACAGTTTTTTTATTTTTTTGATGACTGATGATGTTGAGCATCTTTTCATGTTTTTTTTT
This sequence comes from Homo sapiens, assembly GCF_000001405.40. NCBI lineage: Eukaryota > Metazoa > Chordata > Mammalia > Primates > Hominidae > Homo > Homo sapiens. Next base: position 30,328,054 of record NC_000009.12, read on the forward strand.
CATAATTTTTACTCTTTGGAAAAACATCTATCTAAGTAAGTCATTTGCCCATTTTTTAATTGTGCAGTTTTGTTGTTGTTACAGTGTAAGATTTATTTATATATTTCAGACTTTTATCATATATATGATTTTCAAATATGCTTTCTCATTCTGTAGGCTGTATTTTCACTTTTAAAATATGCCCTTTAATGCATACAATTTTTTATTTTTATGAAGTCCAATTTATCTAGTTGTTCTTTTGTTGTTTGTGCTTTTTGTTTCATATCAAACAATCCACTGCAAATTCCAAGGTTTAATAGTTTGTTTATTTCTAAGCACATTAGAGTTTGGCTTTTTAATTTTTTTGGTCAATTTTGAATTAATTTTCATATATGGTGTGAGATAGAAGTCTGATTTCATTCTTTTTTTATGAATATCCAGTTATCCCAGCTCCACTTATTGAAGAGACTATTATTTCCCTATTGAATGGTCTCAAAACCCTTGTAAAAATTCAATAAGGAATAGATGTATGAATTTATTTCTGGACTATTACTTATATTTCATTGTTCTATGTGTTTATCTTTATGCCAATACTGCATTGTTTTATTTTCTGTAGCTTTCTAAGAAAGCTGTTTTAATTTTCTTTTTTCAGGAAAGCTACAGATTCTTGTAACATGTTGTTTAAAATGATACATTACTTATATACACACTGTATGTGGCACCGTGCTTCGGGGAAATAACATTGGTGAGCATACATGTATTCCCTTCATTTCAGGAGGCTCAGAGTTAACTGAATTTCTGTAAAGCAAATATGTGATAGCTCTCTTCAAGTTATATATTGATGCACATAATCCTTTTTTGTAATTTTTTGTATTATTTATAAAATTAGTCCAAGCCCCTTCTCTCAAAAGCTACTGAAGTTTGAGGAATCCCACAGTACTTAAAATATAGCTTAAAAGAGTTTTATAATTTATAAATACATTTCTTTTGCTCTGTGCTTGTTAGTCACAGTAGATGTTGCTAGAATGATCACAGCACAACAGCCTGTCCTATGGGTTTATCTAGCATTAATTACTCAAGTGACCTTCTAGCTCACAAAGTCAAAATGTCACATTAACACCCGTATTTCTTTTGATGTGCTTTCCAGACTTAGAAATGCACAGTGCTATCAATTGTGGATAAATGTCCTGTATACATGCTTATTTTCAGTATCAGAGTGGGGACAAGTTATCTGAGACGTTGTTAAGTAATAAAGGCATAAACACAAATTTTCAAAATATAAGACAAAGCCTACAGAAAGGAAATCATAACAACACATTTGAAAATATTTTCCTTTCCAAAAGAACATCTTCTCAGAGTTTATACCATAAACAACCTTAAACAATAGGAGTAATTTTTAAAAATTGTTAAAATTGTTAATTTCTAAATATGTAGAACTTAATAACAAGAATAAATCTAGGAAAAAGGCATTGTTTCTATACAGAGACAGAAACTACAGCGTGCTGGGAAACTTCTTTCCTTGACAATCATGGCTTTAAGTATGGTGCAATTTTTAGTGCCAACAGACAGCTGCTGTGGGATATTTTGCGAAAAGAACAAAAGATGTATTCTTCTTGGAGTGAGTTTGCTATTTCACTCTCGTTGTAAGGTAATGACTAAATATATCTCCCCCATTACAACTCAGAATAACTGAAGAATTCACAGGGAATTTCATTTCAGAGCTACTGTAGATTATGGGGATGGTAAGGTGGGTGAGGAATTTTAGTCATCACGACATTCAAAATGAGACAAGATCTCTCAGTGGAATTTTAGGACGTGATGACTCTAACTTTAAACAAGTCATTTTAAAGTTTAAGTCTTCATTAGAATCTTGGAGTTTCAAAATTTGAAAATTTGAACTTTATGCCTCTTACCACCCTATTATTCAGAAATAAAATGCCTGCAGATAATTTTTTTCATTTAAATCTTTAAAGCTATAAACTGGATACTCCAAAGTTTATCCCCTAATACATACAACTTACATTACATAGCTAGACCCTAAATAATAAGGCAGGATATCTCTATTTTTTACTATCATAGAACCAACTCTATTATCAACAGCTTAATAGCTGCTAATATCTATGTTTAAATAGCACATCACTCTAATAGAGTCTATAAAGAAGACTGGTTAGAGTCAAAGAGAATAAAAGTAGGAAAATTCATGTTGAATTCATTTTTAATGGAATCTCTAGACCTAAAATTTGTATTATGAGGAAAGAACAGAGTAGGATGAAATAGTTCTGCATAGAGAGGCATGTGTCTTTTGGAGTCTGGAGACATACATGAACATGGTGACAGACACCTGCTTTTTGTCTGAAGATTTCTCAAAATAGAAGACCAGTAAGAATAGCACCTGCCAGTAAAGCAGACATAAGGCATAGATAGCCTAGGCTCAAAGATGTTACAATCCACCCCATTCTTAGGTTCTGCTGCTATTTGGGAAAATGCAAGATTTTCTCAGTGGTTCTTGTGTTTCCATGTGTAGTATCTTAAAAGAGTTGGGAAGCACATGCAGGGCTAATTAGTGCCTGTTGATCATTATACTCAATAAGACACCAATGATATATCTTTTTAAAACTTCAAACAATAATAATGTATGTGAATGCACATATTTGTAATAAAAGTATGAAATCACAATCTCTATACATAATTCAACACAGTGATTGCCTCTAGGGAGGAAAAGAGAGGACTATAAACAGAAAGGTAACACAGAAGACATAAGTTTATGTTCAAAGTTTTATTTATTAAAAATTAGAATCTCGATCAATTAAAATACAATGTTAACATTATTTTGGGTAGTTACAGAGTGGCATCTTGCAATTCTATGCTTGATACCTGTTTATTGTTTGAAATATAAAAATATAATGTGTACTTTCAGTTTGGGGATAAGATGACATAGACTCACTTTTTCCTATCCCTCTTTTCTACATACAGCTGAATATTCTGAAAATAATTTAACAATTATAGAACGTGGAAAGGTGGAAATAATCCAAGAAGTAGACATAAGACAGTGGACTGGCTACGAATTACAGAATTTGAAGAACAACACTGACATTGTGATTTTATCTATTCCCATATATCTCAATGTGAGTGCCAGGGACCTGCAACCATGAACAACCAACAATAGGTGTAGACCCAAGAAGAAAATAAAGGAAAAATAAACAGCAAGAGAGAAGGAAGGAAGGAAGGGAGGGAGGGAGGGAGGGAGGGAGGGAGGAAGGAAGGAAGGAAGGAAGGAAGGAAGGAAGGAAGGAAGGAAGGAAGGGAGGGGAGAGGAGAGGAGAGGAGGGGAGAGGGGAGGGGAGGGGAGGGGAGGGAAGGAAGGGGAAGGGAAGGGAAGGAAGGGGAGGACAGGAAAGTGAGAGAGGAGGAAAAAGAAAGACCTGTTTCCTCTGGCCAAAATAACAGGAAAGAGGAACCGGGGAGGTGCCTAATGGGGAGACTTATACCCAGTGGAGGCAGTAGCCTGACCTGTCTGGAGAATGAGGACCAACCCACTCCTAAAAAGATGTGCAACAATAACAACATTGGAACCGAACAGGCAAACCCAAAAGATGCCTCACATCTGTGGGCAGCAGGCAAGCTCCTCTTCTATTACTGGAGATGAAAACAGGCAAGGTACCTCCTGGCTTTCCAACCAGTGGCAGATTGCAACTCCAAAGCAGTGTCTTTTAATCCTTCCTATAAGAGCAGAGGTCACTCAGACCTAGCAGATCCTATCCTATACCAGCAGGAAAAGATAATTCAAAGCAAGGAACTGCAGGCAGACGACATTTATAGCATTTCTTGAACATCCACCCGGTAGCAGAGAAGCACCCAGACAGCTCCTGACCCTCCACCCAGTGGCAGAAGTCTGTCCAGGTTGGTGTTTCCTCCATCAGTAATACTGAAGAATAATTGTGTATGCTCATGTAATCATCAGCGAAACTTGAATACTGAACATTTTTATCATCTCCTGGAAATATCTTCATGCCCCTGAGATCTAGGCAATCCATGCTGCACTCAGAGGAAAACCACTGTTCTGATTTGTCTCTTTTTATTCTGGATACTTTGAAGATTTTCTCTTTATTTTTTTCAGACTTAAATTATGATGTGCCTATCTTTTGAATTCTTCACAGTTATTTTTTTGGGAGGGATTTGGTGAGCTTCTCAGGTCTGCATGGTTTTTTCACCAAACGTAGAAAATATTTGTACATTATTTCTTCAAATAATTTTTGCTACATTTTCTTCTTTTTTATCATTCTAAAGATCCTATGTGTGTTATACTGTGTGATATTACACCAAAAAGTCATTAATTATATACCAATTATTGATAATGTTTTTCTCAGATGGAATAATTTCTGTTTACATGTTTGCTGGTCCTTTCTCTTATCAACTTTAATTTACTTGCTATTTCTTTTTCCTTTATTTCTTAATGAATTTCATTCATTAAGCTATTCTAACTGTATATATTGTTCCTTTAACTTCTAGAACTTGTATTTGACTAGTATAGTTTACATTTATCTGCTCAAACAACTTCTATTTATTCATAATGGAAACATTTTCAAATCTTTGAACATGTGTATAAGAGTTGCTTTAAAAATCTTGCCTGTTAATCCACAAATTTCCATTGATTGCTTTTTCCCTTGGCCATGGATCATATATTTCCTGTTTCTTCACACATCTAATAAACTTTCTTATATATGACACATGGTGATAAATTAACTTTAGACATTCTGGACACTTCTCTTGTTCCTTGAAGAAATGATTTATATTTTAATAGGAAGTTAACTTGACTGGATTCCATTCATAACTCTGGGTTTCTGCACAATATTTTCCACCTTCCAACTATTGCTTTGTATTGTATTTTTGTAGCATTCTTCACTCATGCACAGTGCAAGCGTCAGCCAATGTTTGGGGTTTAGTCCATGTGCATATTTTAGGGATCTTTCCTTGGTGGCATCTTCCTTCTTTGGACTTCACCCTTCACCTTCCAGACATTCTGACAGCCCCACACTCTGTCCTCTGACTCCTTGGATAGAGTGAAGCTTTATGTTTTAGTTCCAGATATCCTATAACAAAGGGACTTTGTTTCACACTGCACTAACTTGAAATAGTGTGTGTTTGTGTGTGTGTCTGGTTTGTGCTATGGTTTGAATATTTGTACCCTCCAAAACTCATGGTGAAATTGCTTCCCCAGTGTGGCAGTTTTGAGATTTGTGGCCTTTGAGAGGTGATTGGATCTTGAGAGTTCTGCCTTGCTGATTGGATTGATCTAGTCTTGTATTAATGAATGTATGGTTTAATGAACTGGTGGCTTTATATAAAGGGGAAAAGAGACCTAAGATGGGGTGTTAGCATGCTCATCTCCCTAGCTATGTGATACCCTGCACTGCCCCTGGGCTCTTCGGAGAGCAAGCAAGAAGGCTCTCACTATGTGCAGCCTCTCAACTTTGGACTTAAGCTCCATAATTGTATGAAATAAATTTCTGTTCTTATAAATTACCCAGTTTCAGGCATTCTGATATAAGAAACAGAAAACAAACTATGGTAGTTTTGTTTTTCTTTTTAATATATTTTATCTAGTGTTGGTAATTGAAATCTGATGGATGATAATACATTTCAGAACCAGTCCTCCCTCATCGTTATTGTTAAAAGATATTTCACTTACATGGAATTCTAGACTGGCACTGATTTTTCTTTCAGCATTTTAAAGATATAATAGATTTGTCTCTGGCTTCCTCTAATTAGAACTCAATGAGAATATCTATCCTCATTCTTTCACATGTAATATTTTATTCCCCTCTGGCTTCTTTTAATAGATTTTTCTCTTTTATTAGTTTAAGCATTTTTGGCTTTGATATGTTGAGGTGCATTTTTAAGAAATGGATGTGTTTTACAAAGATTCCAGCATCTTGAATTGATGACACTAATAAATTTGAAAAATTACATCTATGGGCTAAACTGTATGCCTTCGAAATTCATCAGTTGAAGTCCTAATCCCCAATGCCTCAAAATGTGGTTTTAATTGAAGACAGATCAGTTAATTAGTTAATTAAAATGCAATTATTAGGGTAGTCCATAATCCAACATGACTGATGTCTTTATAAGAAGGGAACATTAGAACACAGACACAGACAGAGGGAAAAGCATGTGAAGTCACAGAAAGAAGACAGTCATCTCCACGCCAAGGAGAGCAGCCTTGGAAACAAACAAACAAACAAAACTCTTTCAACCCTTGGATATCTGACCTCTAACCTCCAGAATGATGAGAAAATAAAATTCTGTTATTTAGGCCACCCAGTCTGTGCTTCTTTGTTATCGCAACCCTAGCAAACTAATAGAAATACTTTAGAAAATCTATTCAAATATTCTTTCAGTCTGTTTTCCCTCCTCTCCTCTAGGCCACCAATTACATATAAATGTGGTACAATTCTTATTGATACCATGTTTACTAACCTTTTCCTCTTCGACTGAGGTCTGTTTTTTATTTTCCTCCTAAGGATTTATTGAGATACAATCCAAAAATCACACAATTCATTAAAGTGTACAAGTCCAGGATTTTTGTATATTAACAGAATTGGGCGATCATCACTATAATCTAATTTTAGAAAATTTCCATCCACTCCCAAATAAATCCTTTACCATTAGCAGCTATTCCCCATCACCCTCTCTGCCTTCTAATCCTATGCTTCCTATCTCTGCATGTTTCTCTTTCAGGACATTTCATATAAATGGATTAATAAAATATGTTGTCTTTTGTGGCTAACTTCTTTCAATTAGTTTGATGTTTTCAAAGTTTATCCATGTTGTAGCATTTATCAGTATTTACTCACTTTTATTAACATTTCATATTTCGTTGTAACAATATGCCACTTTATTTTGCATACATTTATCAGTTGACAGAAATTGGCTTAATTTCACTTTTTGACTGTTATAAATAGTACTGCTATGAACTTCCATGTATAAGCTTTTGTGTGGACATAGGTTTTTATTTCTTTTTGGTACATAACTGAGTATTGAAATGTTGGATTATAGGACAGCTTTATTTTGAACATTTTTTTCTGAAGGATATGTACATTTTAAAATTTCAAGCAGCAATGTATTACGTTTCCAATTTTTCCTTGTCTACAGCCCTTATCTACCTTTTATAGTGCACACATCTGAGAGATAGTACAGTATCTCCTTATGGTTTTGATTTGCATTTCCTCAATGGTCAATGATATTAAGCATCATTTTACATGGTTACTGGACTCATATATCTTCTTTGGGAAATGCATATATTCCAATTTTTTACATAGTTTTTAATTGGAATATTTGTCTTTGTATAATTGAGTTGTAAGAGTTGTTTATATGTTCTAGATATGAGTCCTTTTTCAGACATACAATTTTCAAATATTTTATTTCATTCTGTATGTTCTCTCTTCATTTTGTAGATAGTATCAAATTGTAGATAGTATCATTTACAGCAAAAATATTTTTAAATTTGGTAGTCTATTTTTTATATTTTTTCCTTCTTTGCTCTAAAAGGATTTCATCACCCAAAGAACAAGAAATTATTCTGTTTTCTTCTAATGGTTTTGTACTTTTAGCTCTTACATTTAGATCTTTGATCTATCTGGAGCTAATTTTTGTATGTGGTATGAAGTAGGTGTTCAAATTTATTATTCTACATTTGAACATCCAGTTGTTCCAACACCATTTGTTGAAAAAAAACTATTATTTCCTCATTGAGTTCTGTGGCATAAGGTTTGCACTTAATTCTATTAAATGAATTATTTATTCTTCTATCATGGGTTTTTATTTCCTGACATTCTATTTATATCCTTTATAGTTGCCATTTTTTCCATGTATCTAAACATGGTGTTTTCATTTTCCAATTAATGCTTTCATATATCTGTAACAATTATTTTAAAGATCCAATATGTGAATTTTAACATCTGAACTCTCTTCGTATCAGCTGTTTATTGTATGTTTTCTTTCTTAACCATGTATTAGATTTTCTTGCTTCTTCACATCTCATTATTTTTTAATTTATGATAAATAAATTCGTAAGCAAACAGCAAAGATTGAAGTAACATTTTTCTCCAGAAAATTGCATGTTTCTTCTTGTAAGACTTCTTGTATTGAGTGAAGGATTAATCTCATCTGCATTTTTTTTTTTAGCCCGAATCATCATACAGCTTTAGATGGTTTAATTTTGGCATTGGCTTCAGACATATTGAGAGATTGTACAGCACTATCCATTCAGATACGCTTGGTGTCTAAGTACCAACAACACTCTGGAAATCAATGTATCTCTCTTCCTCTCTGTCTCTCTTTGTTTTGCTTTGTTTTAGTTCAGTTGCCAGCTTTTTGGATCATCTGCATTTTTTTTTTTTTAGCTTGAATCATCATACAGCTTTAGATGGTTTTATTTTGGCATTGGCTTCAGACATATCGAGAGATTGTACAGCACTATCCATTCAGATACGCTTGGTGTCTAAGTACCAACAACACTCTGGAAATCATAGAGTTTTCTTTAACTCTGTTTTTTCACCACAGAAGATCTTATCATCCCTTGCTGCCTCATCCCCAGCTATCTGGAACTAATAACTTGCTTTTAGTCAGGATCAAAATTGCTTCAAAAGGATTTCTGGACATTTGTTTTGTACATAGCCTTCAGCTTTTCCACTAATTTGCACTTGAACAAGTCCCTACACATCTTGTATGATTTATTTCTCATCTCTCCTCTGCTTACAACCTTCAGTATATATTTGGTGAAGGCCTATGGGAAAGAGCTGGCAGGTAGGTATGGGTTTACTTTGTGGCTAAACTTAATTGGTATTAATATCTAACCAACCCTTACGTTTCTAGTAATGTTTTTTTAGTTGTTTGCTTGGCTAGTATGTCTTATCTATTTATTTTTTAACAAACAAACTTATTGGAGTATGATTTATATACAAAACAGAATATATTCAACGTATACAATTTGATCAGTTCAGACATATTCATGTACCCATGAAGCTATCATTACAATCAAGGTAACAAATATATGAATCACTCCAAAAGTTTTCTCATTTTTTTTTTTGCGTGTATGGTAAGAACACTTAACATGATATCTACCCTCACAGCAATTTTAAGTACACTATACAGTATGGTTAACTATAAGCACAATGTTGTAGAGCATTTATCTAGGAATTATTCATATTGTATAACTAAAACTTTATGCCCATTGGACAATCATTTTCTCTCCTCATTTCTCTTTCCCCAAGCCCCTGAAACCTATTGTTCTACTTTGAGCTTCTATGAGTTTGACTATTTTACAAAGCTTATTTGTATTTGGCTTATTTCACTTAGGATAATGTCCTCTAGATTCATTTGTGTTGCAAATATCAGGATTTTCTTCTTTTTTAAGGTTGAATAATATTTCACTGTATGTGTATATTCACAATTTGTATACCATTCATCCATCAATGGACTCTTGGATTATGTCTGTATCTTGGCTGTTGTGAATAATGCTGCAATGAACATGGAAGTGTAGATATACCTTCAGTATTCTGATTTCAGTTGTTTTATTTAAAAATCGTTTTTATTTTTATTTTTTCTAGGTACATAGTAGGCATATATATTTGTGGGGTACAGGAGATATTCTGACACAGGCATGCAATGTGAAATAATTAGATCATGGAAAATGGGTTATCCATCCTCTCAAGCATTTATCCTTTGTGTTAAAACAATCCAGTTACATTCTTTTAGTTATTTTTAAATGTACAATTAAGCTCTTATTGAGTATAGTCACCATGCTATGCTATTAAATAGTGTGTATTACTCCTTCTCCTTTTCTTTTTTTACCCATTAACCATCCCCATCTCATTACCAGCTTCTCACTACCCTTCCCAGCCTCTGGTAACCATCCTTCTACTCTATGCTCATGATTTCAATTGTTTTGGTTTTTAGATCCCACAAATAAGTGAGAACATGTGATGTTTATCTTTTTTTGCCTGGCTTGAAATATCTATTTTTTATTATGTTTTCTAAGTGCGTTAATACATATTTTCAAGGTCAAATATTTTTTTTCCAGTGGATTGTTACATGTGCTTCAAGTACATAGCATATTACCTTGCTAAAAGGCACTCTATTTTTTTATTTCTTCTTGTAGTGTAATTATACTAGAGTTTCATAAACAGAAAGTATCTGGGTTTTTTTTAATCCTAATTTTAGGAGTAATGCATTCAGCATTGGCTTTGGCTGTATAATTACTCATAGCTTTTTAATGTTAAGAAAATATTCCTCTAATCCTTGTTTTCTAGGATTTGGTTGGGGAATACTTGTTGAGTTTTATTGAATACTTTTTAAGCATCAAAGGCCATGAAGATAATAGTCTCCTCCTGTGTTATCTTGTACTGTTTGGTTTCTTGGAAATATATTTTAATACACTCTACATATTACTTAGCATACATGCCGAGTAAGTGTTAAGGATGAATGAAGATGCAATTCTTACTCTCACTAGTGAGACTGAGAGCGTCTCTTTCTCCCATATCCTCTCCAGGTCATTTTAATTTTTCTTATGATTAAAAACAAGTTTAAACAGAGACAATTTGACTTCATCTTTTCCTATTTTAATACCCTTTATTTCTTTCTCTTGCCTGAGTGCCCTGGCCAAAACCTTCAATACTATGTTGAATAGGAGTGGTGAGAGAGGGCATCCTTGTCTTGTGCTGGTTTTCAAAGGGAATGCTTCCAGTTTTTGTCCATTCAGTATGATATTGGCTGCGGGATTGTCATAAATAGCTCTTATTTTGAGATATGTTTCATCAATGCCTAGTTTATTGAGATATTTTAGCATGAAAGGCTGTTGAATTTTGTCTAAGGCCTTTCTGCATCTATTAAGATAATCATGTGGTTTTTGTCATTGGTTCTGTTTATGTGAAGGATTACGTTTATTGATTTGTGTATGTTGAACCAACCTTGCATCCCAGGGATGAAACTGACTTGATCATGGTGGATAAGATTTTTGATGTGCTGCTGGATGCAGTTTGCCAGTATTTTATTGAGGATTTTTGCATTGATGTTCATCAGGGATATTGGCCTGAAATTTTCCTTTTTTTGTTGTGTCTCTGTCAGGTTTTGATATCAGGATGACGCTGGCCTCATAAAATGACTTAGGGAGGATTTTCTCTTTTTCTTGTTTGGAATAGTTTCAAAAGGAATGGTACCAGCTCCTCTTTGTACCTCTAGTAGAATTCGGCTGTGAATCCATCTGGTCCTGGACTTTGTTTTTGATTGTATATTTAGAAAACCCCATCGTCTCAGCCCCAAATCTCTTAAGCTGATAAGCAACTTCAGCAAAGCCTCAGGATACATAATTAATGTGCAAAAATCACAAGCATTCTTATACACCAATAACAGACAAACAGAGCCAAATCGTGAGTGAACTCCCATTCACAATTGCTACAAAGAGAATAAAATACCTAAGAATACAACTTACAAGGGATGTGAAGAACCTCTTCAAGGAGAACTACAAACCACTGCTCAAGGAAATAACAGAGGACACAAACAAATGGAAAAACATTCCATGCTCATTGATAGGAAAAATCAATATTGTGAAAATGACCATACTGCCCAAAGTAATTTATAGATTCAATGCTATCCCCATCAAGCTACCATTGACTTTCTTCACAGAATTGGAAAAAAACTACATTTTATATATAACCAAAAAAGAGCCCACATGGCAAAACAATACTAAGTAAAAAAAAAAAAACAAAACAAACCTGGAGGCATCATGCTACCTGACTTCAAACTATACTACAAGGCTACAGCAACAAAAACAGAATGGTATGGTACCAAAACACATATATAGACTGATGGAACAGAACAGAGGCCTCAGAAATAACGCCACACAACTATAACCACCTAGTCTTTGACAAACCTGACAAAAACAAGCAATGGGAAAAGGATTCCCTTTTTAATAAATGGTGTTGGGAAAACTGGTTAGCCATATGCAGAAAGCTGAAACTGGATCCCTTCCTTACACCTTATACAAAAATTAATTCAAGATGGATTAAAGACTTAAACTTAAGACCTAAAACCATAAAAACCCTAGAAGAAAACCTAGCCAATACCTGTCAGGACACAGGCATGGACAAAGATTTCATGTCTAAAACACCAAGAGCAACAGCAACAAAAGCCAAAATTGACAAATGGGATCTGATTAAACTAAAGAGCTTCTGCAGAGCAAAAGAAACTATCATCAGAGCGAACAGGCAACCTACAGAATGGGAGAAAATTTTTGCAATCTATCCATCTGACAAAGGGCTAATATCCAGAATCTACAAAGAACTTAAACAGATTTACGAGAAAAAAAAAAAACAACTCCATCAAACAGTGGGCAAAGGATATAAACAGACACTTCTCAAAGGAAGACATTTATGCAGCCAACAAACATGAAAAAAAGCTCATCATCATAGGCCATTAGAGAAATGCAATTCAAAACCACAGTGAAATACCATCTCATGCCAGTTAGAATGGCGATCATTAAAAAGTCAGAAAACTACAGATGCTGGAGAGGATGTGGAGAAATAACACTTTTACACTGTCGGTGGGAGTGTACATTAGTTCAACCATTTTGGAAGACAGTGTGGCAGTTCCTCAAGGATCTAGAACCAGAAATGCCATTTGACCCAGCAATCCCATTACTGGGTATATACTTGAAAGATTATAAATTATTCTACTATAAAGACACATGCTCATGTATGTTTATTGTGGCACTGTTCACAATAGCAAAGACTTGGAACCAGCCCAAATCCCCATCAATGATAGACTGGATAAAGACAATGTGGCACATATAAACCATGGAATACTATGCAGTTGTGAAAAAGGATTAGTTCCTGTCCCTTGCAGGGACATGGATGATGCTGGAAACCATCATTCTCAGCTGGAAACCATCATTCCCAGCAAAATAACACAGGAACAGAAAACCAAACACTGCATATTCTCACTCATAAGTGGGAGTTGACAATGAGAAGACATGGATACAGGGAGGGGAATATCACACACTGGGGCCTGTCAGGGGGTGGGGGGCTATAGGAGGGATAGCATTAGGAGAGACACCTAATGTAGATGACGGGTTCATGGTTGCAGCAAACCACCATGGCACGTGTATATCTATGTAACAAACCTGCACATTCTGCACATGTATCCCAGAACTTAAAGTATAATAATAATAAAAAGAAGTTTAAATTTGTCTTTGGCTACCATTTGCATTTCCTTTTCAGTAAAATGGCTGTTCCTGCCCTTTGTCTATTTTTTTCTAACATTTTCTCCCTATATATATCTTTTAACTTTTTTATGGTCTACTTTTTATTTTCAAATATTTTATTATTTGTTCAAATCTATTTCTTCTTCCCTTATGGCTTCTGGGTGTTTTGACTTAAGAAGGTCTGCAACATCCTGAGAGTAAACAAGTATTCTCTTAAATTTGCTTTTTATATTATAATCTTACAGATTATTTTGAAGATGTATGAAGTAGAGATTATGTCCATTGCATGATCGTACATGCCATCTTTTCTGTCTGAATTGAATTGCTACTTTTTTATTATAGTCTAAGTTCTGTGATACATGTGTAAAATGTGCAGGTTTGTTACATAGTTATACAGTTGCCATGGTGGTTTGCTGCACTCATCAAACTGTCATCTACATTAGGTATTTATTCTAATGCTATCCCTCCCCTAGCCCTCCACCCCCCGACAGGACCCAGTGTGTGATGTTCCCCTCATCATCAGAGTGAACAGGCAATCTCCAGAATGGGAGAAAATTTTTGCAATCTATTCATCTGACAAAGGGCTAATACCCAGAATCTACAAGGAACTTAAACAATTTTACAAGATAAAAACAAACAACCCCATCAAAAAGTGGACAAAGGATATGAACAGACACTTCTCAAAAGAAGACATTTATGCAGGCAACAAGCATATGAAAGCTCATCATTAGTGGTTACTAAAGAAATGCAAATCAAAACCGTAATGAGATACCATCTCAAACCAATTAGAATGGTGATCATTAAAAAGTCAGGAAACAACAGATGCTGGAGAGGATGTGGAGAAATAGGAGCACTGTTGGTGGGAGTGTAAATTAGTTCCACCATTGTGGAAGACAGTGTGGTGATTAATCAAGGATCTAGAACCAGAAATACCATTTGACCCATCAATCCCATTACTGGGTATATACCCAAAAGATTATAAATCATTCTACTGTAAAGACACATGCACACCTATGTTTATTGCGGCACTATTGTCAATAGCAAAGACTTGGAACCAACCCAAATGCCCATCGATGATAGACTGGATAAAGAAAATGTGGCACATATACACCATGGAATACTATGCTTGCATAAAAAAGGATGAGTTCATGTCCTTTGCAGGGACATGAATGAAGCTGGAAACCATCATTCTCAGCAAACTAACACAGAAACAGGAAACTAAACATCACATGTTCTCACTCATAAATGGGAGTTGAAAAATGATTTCAGTTCTTTTGGGTATGTATCCAGAAGTGGAACTGCTTGGTCATATGACTGTTTTTTAAACTTTTTGAAGAACCTCCATTCTGTTTTCAATGGTGGCTGCGCCACTTTACACTTCTACCAAGAGTGTAGAAGAAATCCATATTCTGCAGTTTCTCACCAACATTTATTGTCTTTTGTTTTTTCGATAGTAGCTACTATGGTTTATATGTGGTGATATCTTATATTGGTTTTGATTTACATTTACCTAGTGATTTGTTAATTTGAGTACCTTTTAATTTACCTGGAACAATTTTATGTCTGCTTTGCAGAAATGTCTATTCAAGTTCTTGGCCCATTTTCTTGTAATTTGTTTTTCTGCTATTGAGTTGTAGGAGTTCCTCATATATTTTGAATACCAACTCCTTATCAGATATATAGTCAACATTTTTTTTCCATTTCATAGTTTCCCTTTACTTTCTGTTGATTATTTTCTTTGCTGTGTAGAAATGACTCAGTTTAGCATAATACCATTTATCTATTTGGTTGTTGTTGGCTGCGCTTTTGGTGTCATATCCAGGAAACCAAGGCAGGACCAATCCCCAAGAAGCTTTCCCCCTAGGTCTTCCTATAGGAGTTTTAAGAGTTTTAAGTCTTACATGTAAGGCTATAATTAACTGTGTCTTAATGTTCTTCTTGTATGCCATATGATAAGGGCCAATTTCATTCTTTTGAATGTGGATATCCAGTTTTTTCTAACACCATTCATTGAAGAGATTTTATTTCTCGATTGTATATTCTTGATGACCATGTTGACGATCAGTTGACCATTATATGTGTGAGTTTATTTACAGGATCTCCATTCTGTTTCACACGTCTATATGTCTGTCTTTATGTCAGTACCATAACACTTTATTTACTGCAACTTTGTAATGTATTTAGATACCAGAAAGTGTGATGTCTGTACCTTTTTCATTTTTCTCAAGATTGCTTATGCTATTTTGGGTCTTTTGTGGTTCTGTAGGAATGTAAAATTATTTTTCTATTTCTGTAAAAAAGAAAATGTCCTTGGGATTTGGATGGGGGTGGCATTGAATCTGTAGATCTCTAGGGATAGTATGGGTACTTTAACATTACTAAATCTTCCAATCCAGGAAAACAGAATATCTTTCCATTTATTTTAGGTCTTTAATTTCTTTCATTAATATTATGCAGTTTTCAGCATAGAAGTCTTTTATTAATACTTTTTTGCTTAAGCTTACATCTAAGTATTTTATTTTATATTTTATGCTGTTGTAAATGGAATTGTTTTATTAATTATTTTATTACTATTATTATTTTTAGAGATAAAGTCTCACTGTGTTGCCCAGGCTGGCTCAAACTCGTGGGCTCAAGCCATCTTCCTGCCTTAGCCTTCTGAGTAGCTGAGACTACAGGGGTGCACCACTGCGCCTGGCTGGCGAAGGCTTTGTGAAGACAGGGTTCTCAGTTTGCATCTGTTATAACAAAACTATCACAAAAGATTTCAAAAACTGCAACCTTTCTCAAATCCCATCACAAACTTATGCACGAAAAAAGTCTCCTGCAAGGACATTTTCCCAACAACTGCATGTCCAATCTTGGATTCGTATTATCCTCATTATTTTTCCTTGTAGCCTAGGGTAATTATCTCAAAACAATTATGTAATCCTCCTAATTTTTTTCTTTAAATCCTTTTCTTCTTTTACCTCCTGAATACGTAGGTAGTTTACTATAGCACCTGCAATCGGATTGCAATGTCCTGTTCTGGAATTAAAATCATTTCCTTTTAGAGAGTAAACCCACAACCTTCCAGCGTGGGCATCATGGCCATCATGAACATGTCACAGTGCTGCAGAGATTTTGTTTATGGCCAGTTTATGGCTAGATTTTGGGGGGCCTGCTCCCAACACTTGGAACTGGTATGCAGTAAACACTTGAACGCTTTGACCTCTCTGTTTCCATGGCTCATTTTTTTGCCCTGGTGAGTCTTCTCTCAGGCTAAGCCTTTCTCTTTTTGGTAGATACTTTTTGTTGGTATTCAGTAGGGTTGTAATTTGGGATTTAGGATTTGGTTTGGTTATAAGCACCTCCTTAATAAAAGACTTTACATTTCTCCTTAGATCATTAAAGTCTTTTGCCTTTTCTGAGAAGTGCTTTTTGGTATAAAGACAAATGTCTTTCTGGTTTGAGTACTCTGCTTTCTACAGAACTTTAATTCTTTCTCTGAGACATGCCTTTTCTGGTGAATTCACTTTTGGTTTGCATGCCTAGTTTAATGTTATGTTTGATCTGCATACTTTGATAAATTTTTTTGTGAATATTTATACCTTGTTTTCTTTTTGGTAACACACATCTGTAAATAATATGGCTTTTTTACTTGCTTGTTCCTGAAAATCTTCCAATAGCAAAACAGACATTCTAAACAGTGAATGCACGGTGATTAAAAGCATTAGCACAGTTGCCACCATCTATAACATATATGCAAACTTCTAACCATTATCTAATGGGACTTACAGGCTCTTTATTGCTCTCAAAAGACTTATGAAAATGAAATAAGATTCTCAAACATCAAGGCATGCCAAGTTTTCTGAGATTTTAGCCACCTATGTTGTGCCTTATTCTCATGAACATTTTAAAATTGATGGGCAAAGTACATTCATATAAATTTAGAGCACAAATGGTGCTTATTTGAAACCTCTAAAAACAACCTGCAACTACAGAGTTAACATGTAGAGCCTTCTAAGTAATCTGTTTAACTCTATTTTTTTCTGCCTACTTTGAATGTGATGACTTTTCTACTAATGTTGAAAACTTACTGGTTATGGCATTCCAGGCAACATTATAAAAAGGTTTTAAAGTGCTTTCTAATTATCGACTTTACAAATTACAACAGCTCCATGGTAACCAACAGCCTAGACACCTTTAGGGAATGCAAATTTAAATTTTTCTGAATAACAATTACTTACAATTACTTATGGTGATGAAACGGTTAATTGAAGAATTTATGATCTAATAGAAAAAAATGAAATACATGTTTATAAAGGTTAGACTCTCAGATCAGACAGATCAAAATCTTGACTTTCTATATTTTACAGAAAGACTAAATATATTTGGGCTTATTAATAAATGAAAGTATTATATTACAGGAAAATGAGTTTTTAAATATTATAAAATGGTTCTCATCTATACAATACTGATGTGACAAATAGTTAACAAGTGGTTGCTAAAAAGTAATGTTGCCGGGCGCGGTGGCTCACGCCTGTAATCCCAGCACTTTGGGAGGCCGAGGCGGGCGGATCACGAGGTCAGGAGATCGAGACCATCCTGGCTAACACGGTGAAACCCCGTCTCTACTAAAAATACAAAAAATTAGCCGGGCGTGGTAGCGGGCGCCTGTAGTCCCAGCTACTCCGGAGGCTGAGGCAGGAGAATGGCGTGAACCCGGGAGGCGGAGCTTGCAGTGAGCCGAGATCGCGCCACTGCACTCCAGCCTGGGCGACAGAGCGAGACTCCGTCTCAAAAAAAAAAAAAAAAAAAAAAAAAAAAAAGTAATGTTACTAAGAGATAAAATTCTAATTTATATATATATATAATTCTTTATGTAAAATGTGCCTTAAAAAGTAAGATGTGTTTTTGATTAAATCATATATAAATAAATTAAAATGTGTTTTTTGATAACAAATAATAATTTTGTTTAATGTGGAGGTTACTTAAAAATTGTTTCAAAATATGAATTTAGGAAAAAATAAAAACAGGATATAAAGGAATCAGTATGAGAGAGAAATTTGAAGAAATAGGTATAAAGATATCCACTTGGCAAGGAATGTTGAAAATAAAAGAGATTAATTTTGTGTGAAAATCTTGTGTGATCCATTGCTGTCCTAAAGTAAAATGACTGGTTAAGAAAGAAAAAGCACAGGACAAAGTAGAAAGTCTAAGCATGGCATAAAAGGTCTAAGCAGGTAAAGAATGGTTCATAAAGGGTAAATTTATGAAAGGAATTTTGTGTGTAATCAAGTTGGCTATAATTAAGAGAGATTTTAGGACTGTAAAGATTGAGCTTTGATATTAAATTACACTAATACATAAGTAAAACTTTGATCCCCTAGTTTAGAGCAAAATTTTTTTGAAATACTAATTTTCTTTTAGTGAAATTGAAAAAGGCTTTGATTGTTAACTCTGAAATCTGTTTTTTTTAAAGCCATCTTCTACACTACAGTTTATTTTTCTGCCACATTTCTTCCTGAGATTCATCTAATTTCTTTCTTTCTTTTTTTTTTTTTTTTTTTTTTTTTGACAAAGTCTTGCTCCGTCACCAGGCTGGAGTGCAGTGGCACGATCTCGGCCCACTACATCCTCCAACTCCTGGGTTCAAGTGATTCTCCTGCCTCAGCCTCCCGAGTAGCTAGGACTACAGGTGCACGCCACCACACCCAGCTAATTTTTTGTATTTCAAGTAGAGATGGAATTTGACCATGTTGGCCAGGATGGTCTCGATCTCTTGACCTCATGATCTGCCTGCCTCAGCCTCCCAAAGTGCTGGGATTACAGGTGTGAGCCACCGCGCCCAGTGGATCCACCTAATTTCTTAAGTTTTAGGTTAGAAATGCTGTCTTTTTTTCCCTAAATGATAATTTAATGTCTTAAGATAACATTTGTCTTTTCAAGCTTCTGAGATTCACATCTCTGAAGTTAAACTTTTGCTGTATCTTGCAGCACATGGTTTTTCAGATTATGAATTACTGCCTCCAGCTCTCATCTTTCTCCCATTGAAAAGGTATATATTATGCACAAACGCCTAAATCAATTTCAATATTTTTACTATTTCTGAAGACTCTTTTAAAAAGGCAAATACAAAGCTTAAGTGACAAACTGATAAGAAAAATTAAATCTGCTAACCTTTTGGCTTAGTTAGTATCCTTTCCCAAAGGTGAAAAGTATGTGATACCAAGTTAGGCCCTAAGGTAAAGTAGGCTTGCTCCTTTTTCGGATCTATCTATGTTAAGTCCAGGCATGGGGAATGTTTTCTTTGCCCTATTCCTTGATGGGTTCCACTCTGAATTCTGTAAGTTCAGATAAGTTAAAAAAATAACAAATAAAAAATAAAAAAACTACCCATCAAACTAAAATACACCTTTCATTAACCTTTGGATGTAAAGATTGCATGTCTGCCCAACAGGGAGCCACAATTTTTACACTGGCCAACCTAATGCTATAACTACTTGAGGTGGGTAAGTGTAAACTAAAAGCCTTAAAGTGGCACAATTTTATATAACTTAAATATTTTAAAAAAAATATTTTTGTGGCTGGGCATGGTGGCTCACGCCTGTAATCCTAGCACTTTGGGAGGCTGAGGCAGGCAGATTGCCTGAGCTCAGGAGTTCGAGACCAGCCTGGGCAACACAGTGAAACGCTATCTCTACTAAAATACAAAAAATCAGCCAAGCGTAGTGGCGCGTGCCTGTGTTCTCAGCTACTTGGGAGGCTGAGGCAGAGGAATTGCTTGAACCCGGGAGGCAGAGGTTGCAGTGAGCCGAGATCGTGCCACTGCATTCCAGCCTGGCAACAGAGTGAGACATACAAACTAGAAAATCTAGAGGAAATGGATAAATTTCTGGAAACATACAGCTCCCTAAGTTTGAATCATGAAGAAATAGAAATCCTGAACATATCAATAATGAGTAATGAGATTTAATAAGTAATTAGAAGCCTCACAATAACAACACCAAAAGCCCAGGACCAGATTGATTCACAGAAGAATTCTACCAGACATTCCAAAAACACTTACCAATCTTATTGAAACTGTTCTGAATATCCAGAAGGAGGGAATATACTCTGACTCATTCTACAAGCCAATGTTATCCTGATCCCAAAGCCAGAAAAGTACACACAAAAAAGAAAACTACAGACCAATATCCCTGGCGAACATTGATGCAAAAAAAATCCTCGACAAAGTACTTGCAAATTGAATTCTACAGCACATTAAAAAGATTATCCACCACGATCAAGTAGGATGACAAAGATCCCAAAAGCAAATGCAACAAAAAGAAAAATAAATACATAATACTTCATTACACTAAAAAGGCCCCACACAGCAAAAGAAATAATCAACAGTCAACTTACAGAATTGGAGAAAATATTTACAAACTATAAATATAATAAAGGACTAACATGCAGAATCTACAGGGAACTCGAATCAGCAAGAAAAAAACGAAAAATCCCGTTAAAATATGGGCAAACAACATGAATAGATATTTCTCGAAAGAAGATATACAAATGGCCAACAAACATTTAAAAAAATTTCAACATCACTACCCATCAGGAAAATGCAAATTAAAACCATAATGGTGTCACAGAATCCTTAGAATGTCACTCTTCCAGCTGTAATCCTCTGTGGCCAGTGGAGCTATTGCCCGAGTTTTGCTTGGGGCTTCTGGGCTCTTTCTGCCCACTCGGCCCGGCAGGCTGTGCTCAGTTCGCTCTACTGGCCTGGATCCCACGTCTCCCTACGGTGAACAAGGCACGAAACGGCTAGGAGTGTGTGAGCGAGCATGGGGTCTGGCCACCGCGCACAGCCAGGCATGCTGACTGCGGTGGGCCAGACAGCTCCAGGTGCAGGCCCAGGAACAGGCTCCCTGCAAGGCTGTGGCTGGACCAGGCATAATACAAACGGCTTCCACTGCAGGCACCGAGGAAGACGGTGGTGCCTGGAAGCTTTGGGATGCCAGGAAACACAGAGCCACAAAGAAGGTGTCACAACCCTGGCTAGGGGAGCTTCTAGGTCTGGGTTCCCCAAAGGGTTGCAGCTCTTTTCTCATCTGTTCCCTCCTTCTCATCACCTGGAAAATAGCAAGAGAGCATGGGCGGTGGGGGAGGGGAGGAGGAGTGAGCGTTTCAGTCCTATTTGCGTTACAGCTCTTTCAGTCCTACCATTCAGTGGGTCCCGAGTTGTTGTTCTGCGTCCAGGAAGAATGAGGTATGCAGACAACTGGAGGATTAACAAGGTGGAGAGGAGCTTCATGGAGTGACAGAACAGCTCTGAGGAGACCTGAAGTGGGTAGCTCTTTTCCATTGACAGGTTGTCCCAACGTTGAGGAGACCCAAAGTGGATAGCTCCTTCCCGCACAACTGGTAGTTCCAACGTCTGTGTGAGTTTGGGTGTGTCTGGGGATTTTATGGCCTTAGAAGGGCGGAAGTACTTGCTGATTGGTCCATGAGTGGCCACGTGCGGCCAGGAAAAAGCACCATAAATTCTCATTCCAGGCTACGAACTCAATCCTGAATTGGCAGCCGGGCTCCTAGGATTCAGGCAGTCCCTGGCTTGAAAGTGGAGTTTCACTGGGGACCTGCCCCTCTCTGCTCAGAAACGTGTCTGTCTCCTGCCATCAACATGCTGTCCATGGCACCCAGGCTCTTCCTGCTAAAGTGTGCCTGCAGGCCCGGCTGACTGCCTTCATCACTTCCCCAGCTTCCCTCCCATACTCGTCTGTGCCCAAAGTCTAGAGGGGGCCAAGGTGGTGGTGGGGGCTGACCGAGTCAGTGCTACCTCAAGGGCGTGCACACCCATCTGAGTTGCCACAATGCCCGGGCTTTTACACATCTTTGCTGTGAAATTGGAGCAGGTGCCAGGAGTGTGGAGAGGCCAGGTTGCTGGAGCAGGCACTTCTGAGCCTATGGGGGCTGGGGGACTTCCTGGAGCCCCTGAGAAAGCAGGGATGTCTGGGGCTGGAGTCCCTGCTGTTTGACTGCTGCTGCCCCTGGGAGAGCGGGATTCCTGCCCTGACAACTCGGTAGGGGATGCAGCTCCCGCATGTTTCTGGCTCCTACTGGCTCATGGAGTACACAGACCCCGCTGTCGCCATCAATGAGATACTAGCTTACCCCCTTCAGAATGGCTTATACATTGTTGGTGGGAATGTAAATTAGTAGCTTTATGGAAAACAGTATGAAGATTTCTCAAAGAACTAATAGTAGATCTAGCATTCGATCCAGTAATTCCACTACTAGGAATTTACCCAAAGGAAAAGAGGTCATTATATCAAAAAGATACCTGAACTCATAGACTATTGCAGAACAATTCACAATTACAAAGATATGGAATCAGCCTAAGTGCCCACCAACTGAAAAGTAAAGAAAATATAGTGTGGGAAAAAAATATGTCTATGTGAATATATATATATGTGTGTGTGTGTGTGTGTGTCTGTGTGTGTGTGTATTATATGTGTATGTGTGTGTAAACATACACCATGAAATACTATACACACAGCATAGAATACTATATGCATGCCATGGAATACTACTCAGCCATAAAAATGAAATATGTCTCTTGCAGCCACTTGGATGGAATTGGAGGCCATTATCCTAAACGATGTAACTCAGTAATGGAAAACCAAACATTCCATCTCTTCATTTAAAAGCAAGAGATAAATTATGGGTATATAAAGGAATACACAGTAGTAAAGTGGACATTAGAGACTCAGAAGGGGAAAGTCGGGAATAGGGGAAAGGGATAAAAAATTACCTATTGAGTACAATGTACATTACTTGGGTAATGAGGACATTAAAAGCCCAGACTTCACCACTATACAGTTAATCCATGTAACCAAAAACCACTTGTGTCTGGAAAGCTATTAAATTTTTTTTAAAAAATTCTCTAAAAGGAAGGGTGGGGGTGGAGAATAGTGAAAATGGTCAGGTATCCAGGAGAAATTTTTACTGCATCATAATGATCTCAAATAAAACAGGTAAAAGGCCATGATGGTCTTGCATAGTTTATTGACTGTGTATTGAAACATAACTGATTTTTGTGTTTTGATTTTATATCCTACACATTTATTGAATTTATTTTTTAGTTCTAACAGTATTTTTCTCTTTTGTGAAGGTTTCAGCAGTTTCTACATATAAGATTATGCAATCTAGGCTGGGAACGGTGGCTCATGTCTGTTATCCCAGCACTTTGGGAGGCCAAGGCAGTCTGATCAACTGAGGTCAGGAGTTCGAGACCAGCCTGGCCAATATGGTGAAACCCTGTCTCTACTAAAAATACAAAAATTAGCCAGGCATGGTGACAGGCACCTGTAGTCCCAGCTACTCAGGAGGCTGATGCAGGAGAATTGCTTGAACCTGGGAGGCAGAGGTTGCAGTGGGCCAAGATGGCACCACTGCACTCCAGCCTGGGTGATAGAGTGAGACTTTGTCTCAAAATAAATAAATAAATAAATAAGATAAAAAATAAAGGTTATGCAATCTGCAAACAGATAATTTTACTTCTTCCTTTATAATTTGTAGGTGTTTTACTTCTTTTTTCTGCATAATTGCTCTGGTTAGAGTTTCCAGTAATACACTGTTGCAGAGAAGTGGCCATTGTAAATAGTCCTGCAATAAACATATGAGTGCATGGTATCAGAATTTTAAGGAAATATATATTTGTATTCAACCTCAATATTTTTGGAAACTTTCAGTGTTTTATTCGGTAAAAGACAAATATCTTCTTCTATCTATATTTTAAAAGAATTTTCCTCCCTTTCTCTTTTTAAAACTATCATTTTATCGTAAAATAAAATGGAAAGAGTAAAACACACACACACACACACACACACACACAAACAAAAAAGAAACTGCCTCTCCCTATTTAGTAAAATAGGAACCTAAGTTTAAAGTGTTGTTACAATCAAGAGTTTGATTGTAAAAAATTACCTCTCATCTCAGAATCTTCATCAATAGATGTGTTCAGAAAGTAATAGAATATCATACTTATATTACTATACTATTTATTTATTTATTAGTAATTGAATTCTACTTAACTATCCAGGATTGCATATTTAGCTTAAAGTGAACATTAGTTTTTTTGTTTGTTTGTTTGTTTGTTTGTTTGCTTCAGCCATGTTAAAGGCATCTGGAAATTTGAAATAATCTGAAAACAAGAATATATTATTCATATTTTATTTATTTACTTATTGAGATGGAGTCTCACTCTGTCACCCAGGCCAGAGTGCAGTGGCACAATCTGGGCTCACTAGAACCTCCACCTCCGGGGTTCAAGCAATCCTCCTGCCTCAGCCTCCTGAGTAGGTGGGACTACAGGCATGTGCCACCATGCCTGGCTAATTTTTGTATTTTTAGCAGAGATGAGGTTTCACTATGTTTGCCAGACTGGTCTTGAAATCTTGATCTCAGGTGATCCACCCACCTCAGCCTCCCAAAGTGCTGGGATTACAGGCATGAGCCACCTGGCTTTCATATTTTATTTACATATTATCTGTGATCAGCAGCCCAAATTACAGATGGGAATTATTAATAAATTATACTTTTGGAATCTTAATGAAGAAGAGCAGGTAATTTGCGAATAATCAAAGAAACGGTTCAAGTCTTACAATTTACTATAGTCATGCATAACTATCTATTGAGCAAATGAGAAACCACCCAGCTGAATTTCAGAAACTCATATTATCCAGATATACATTGCTACTTCAACCTTATCCAGGCCAGCTTCATGACCATGTGACATGGGCAATCGCACAGGGTTCTGTGCTCACAAGGGTCCTATACTTGGTTTAATGCTCTACTTTCACTATTTTGAAATTCTTAATAATTTAATCTTTGAACTGTATTTTGCCAGTGCAGTCTATTTGGATAATGAAGCAAGAACATGAGTACAAGAGATAAGTGCAAAATGTGTGTCAGTCACATATAAAGTAACTCATATTTCCTTTTTCTTTCAGCCTTTCCATACTCATTAATATAATGAAGGTAGACTATGAATGTTTAATTGAGCATAAAAGACCCCCAGCATGTGCTTTATATTTAAATGATTCAGGTGTATATGGTTTTTTGACACTTCTATAATTACTGAAGTCATTTAGTCAAGAATAATGCATTGTGAAAACTTAAACTGGCATATACATAAAAATTTCAAAAGCAAAGTAAAGAGAGTAGGGATCCATTGTTTCATACAGCCAATACGCCTACATTATCAGCTAGAAAACAGCACAAATTTTGGTTATGTGGTTCAAATAATAGCTGTTACAATTCTTATGAATCTCACTTGCTTAGCCACAGAAATAGGTTTAGAGTGGTCTTCTGGCATGAATTAGGCCATTCCTAGTATCCTGGAAACTACTGTTTTAATTATGTCATATCTAAGGGTTTTTAAAAATATTAATACAGAGATAACCAGACAGCTCCTAGCTGCCAAGTGAAAGAAGCCTATCTAAGAGAAGGAAGTCAATACACCAAGAGAAGATAGGAGAAATGGAGGAAACCTTGCATGGTAGTGTGCAGTTTCTTTCTACCAGTATTATCTGAAGGCCAGTTCTAATACTCTATTTAGCAAAATAATTCCCTGATATTTACTGTTAACTGTAGTTTCTTGATAAGAATTTTCAAACATATAAATGTAGAGTGACTTAATATAGAGAGTACTTTGCATATCACAGGATGAGGTCAAATGGAAGTAACCTGAGAAAATTGGGTGAGCAGTAGCTATGAAGTCAGACCAATTTGAATTTATATCTGACTAATTTACTTATAAGCTATTTGAGCTCATTTAGGCTTATGTCATGTTAGTCAGTCTCCAAGTTGCATCTCCCCTTATTCTCAATGATAATCACCCCATACCACTCACACCCTTATATAGTCTTATCTCAAGTTGGATATAAAAACTTGTGTGATCATAGAATATTGTAGAATGATGGTGTATGGATTCTAAAACTCCTTCATAAAATACATGTGGTTTCTGCCTTGGTCCCTCTGACAAACTGACTGTGGGGTAACCTAGTTGTTATAAGGAAATTGAACAGCCCTATAGAGAGGCTCATATAGTGAAGAAATGAGAACATCTGTTGGTGACCAGCAGCTGAAGCCTCTGTCAGTAGCCATGAGAGTCAATCATCCAAGAAGTGGATTCTTCAGCCCCAGTCAAGTTTTGAGATGACTAAATTTATGGTTGACAACTTGATAACAAACTCCTGACAAATCCTAGAGCCAGAACCACCCAACTAGGCTATTTTTAGCTTCTGACTCAAGGGAACTTTGACATAATATATGCTTATTGTCATAAGATGCCACATTTAGGGGTAATTTGTTAGGAAATAATAGGTAACTGGTATACAAATTATTTATAAATACAATAAAAATTACAATATGAGATAACTGGAAAGAATAGGGTAATGATTTTAAAGCAACTAGTAGAGTGATTAGAGCAGAAGAGATATGTAATAAAGAGGTACGTTTTTGTGTTACTATAATTATTAAATGTATTACTTAATATTATAGTTATAAAATTTTGAAAGGAGTGACCATGTTAAAAAAATCCAACTTAAGATATTGAATAGAAAAAATGATAATTATTTTTTGAAACAAATACATCATTTTTTAAAAATTATGGATTTGACAACAGAGTATATGACAGTGTGTTAATTATACTTTTGTTGGCAAAAGGATAAATTTTGAGAACAACATTTACACTTTCTTCACCCAAGTATTTTATAAGATTTAAACATACTTTATGTCATTTAATAAACCATTTATACAGTACATATTCATTATTTTAAAACACACAATATACATTTTACGTACAATTAGTATGTAGAATACTACAAAGAATGTCACTCCCACTTCAACAATGAAAAAAATTAGGCAAGCTAACATGTTAAATGAACCCTCTTAACTATATTAGAACATAGGAGGAAACAGTATCATGTGAGTCTATAAGAAAAAAGTAGCTAAAATTGTATTAAACTACCAAAGGCCGAATTTGGGCTAGTGTGCAATAGCTGGAGACCCAGACACATGGGATGTTGACCCTCATTCACAACTCTTCCCTATCAGCCTATGATAGATGCTAATGAGAAAGACTGGGAACAAGGAAGGCGAGCAGAGGGACCCACCCCATCAGTGCAGGCTGTAGGCAATAAAAGGGAATAAACTAATATGTGCAATAACATGATAAATCTCAAGTGCATTAAAAAAAGAATAAAAAGGCTAAACTGAAAAGGAAACATAATGTATGTTTTTATTGATATGGCATTCTGGAAATGGCAAAATTATGAGGATAGTAAATAAGTCCATAATTGCCAGGAGCTTAGGCTGAAGCAGCCAGGATTGATTAATTGGAATGAGGCATAAGTGAAATTTCTAGGGTAAAGAAAATATGCCATATCTTGATTAGAGTGGTGGATATTCAACTATACGTTTATTAAAGTTCATAGAAGTGTAAAGCTAAGGGTAAGTTTTAGTGTATGTGATTTGTAACCAACAGATTTGATGATCTTTCTGTAGATACATATATGTCTATATGACACTATCTGTACATCATATATGTATATATGAAGCCATCTGTACATACATGTATGTATAACAAAAATATACAAGTCTAATAAATATATATAAGTAAAATATGATATAACTTATAAAAATGGAAAAATTTACTCACTATCGACTGCCCTTAATCATTGGCATGTAATTAATATATCAACTCATTTATTTATGAAATACATTTCCAGGACAACATTTGAAAGGTATATGTGATGACTCTCTTATATATTTTTAAAATAATTCTGTCCCTCAAAGATTTAAATGGGAATGACGATTTGCAGTTCTACTTGTTTACATTTATATCTCGATGACTATAATTTAGGATCAAATAGGGCTCTGTCTTAAATGGGTCTGCAAGTTATTAAGGTATTTTCTCTCAGCATCAAACCTACCCTTCTATCCTCTGGTTGGTGATGCTGGATGTAGAGTCTTCAAGCCTATTTTTCCTTTACCACTCGATTACTAAGTCAAAAGAGGAGACAGTGAAATTGTAGAGGACCGAGATTTCGTTTCCTGCTTTTGTCGTCATTCCTGTACCCATGGTTATTTATCCTGGTAAGGATCATTGGTTTTACTACCAACTGCTGGTGTCAGTTTGGAGTTTTGTGACTCCTACAACAATCCTTATGAATTCTATCAGTTGATTCTCTTTGTAAAAGTTATCACCCATTTACTTCATTTGACTAGATAGTGAAATAGTCTAAATAGAAAAAATAGCTTTCTAGTTGAACAAACTTTAGTGTTACAATATAACCATTTATGCAGTATTTAGGAGGTCTCTTTATAATAGCGTGCCCTTTACACTTATATAAAAATTATTTTAGGAATACTGTACATATCCTTTTATATTTGTACAATCTCATTTAGGGCACTCTAACTTAGTAAAAAAAAAGTCACTGCAATAGCAATGCCTTTTATTAGTGTGGAATCTCATACTTTCAATATACTGTACTTTTAAGCTTTTAATAGCCTTTCAATTTATTTTTAATTATAATAAAACTTCTTTAGTGTGACAGTGTTTTGAGGATGCACCCAGTATCACATTATTTATCAAGGGTCAGCAGCTAAATGAGTTGAATGCCAGTCTTATGTGAGATTGTGATCCCCCTTTAATGTTTATGTGATGAAAGTGAGTGTGGAAAAAGGCATCACTCACCAACTGTACTGTCCATATTTTAGAAGTTGGAAATAAGAATTTGGTCACAAAAAGACAGGTTTACTACTACCATTTATTAATTACTAGTAGAGAATATAATTTATACTAATTAAATATCAAAATATTTGTAGAAAATCGGAGCATAACATGTTACATTTAATCCCTCAAATATATAAGGCTATATTTGTATATTGAATGTTAAATAGCAGCAGAAATTGTAACTGATCCCTAGATTCATGTTTATTCTCTTAATGCCTAGGAGTGTATTATATAAGTTCAAAAAACATGTGGATACCTGAATATCTTTTACCTCAGCATAGGGACATAAATAAGTTATTCAGTCACATTTTGCGCTATGTTGGTGCACTATCGGGTATGCTAAACAAGGTCAAAGAAAATATAATTCAGCTAAAAATCTTTCTGTAATAATATCAGGAGTAATAACCTCACCTAAATTTACATGGATATGCAAAAAGTACCATAACACAAGTATATTTTGCTTTCTCATTTCTAGCTTTTAATTTTAAAAAAGCATAAAATCTGATAGTATAGGTTCCTCTTGCACATATTTTTTATCTTTGCTAAGTTTAGGATATTTATTCCTACTAGTACATTAATAAAATATAATCATGTGTTTGTGTGGGTTTCAGCCTTATTTGACAGACAAGTTTGCCATTCTTAGCTTTCTAAGTTTACTTCCCTTCCTATTTTGCTATTACAGTGCAGGTTCACCAAAGCTGCAAGGCAACAAATGTACATATGTGAAGATTGATCCTTAATTACTATTTGAAACACAAGGTTCTTAATAGCATCTTCTTTTGAAAAGCAGGCAACATTAAAATACATACATACATGCACCTGTGCAACATCTGTAAGTAGCCCTAGGTCTCAAAGAGGCTTGCATTAATATTAATCCCAAAGAGTCTCAGAATAGCTATAAAATTTCCATGGATATATTTACATATGGATATATACAGCTCCCTGTTAAATTCCTCAGAATGTACCTGGTGGCTTATATTGGTACAAGAAAGTCCAAAAATCATGATTTTGCAGTTGTTGATGGTTTAGTTTCCATTGAATTTAAAAGATAACTTATACATACTAAATTCTACAGAACAATTATATGAAATATTCATATGATATTAGTGTGGCTACCAAAGCTTTATTTTAGTTACTGTTACATCCCCATCCTTTAAATTCTGACATTTTTATGGCCATATATTTAAAGTTGGTGTGTTAAAAGCAATGTGTGTGTTTGGGGGTACCAATATGTTATCAATATTCTTTTTATTTTGTGTATTAGGTCTATTTTTATTTAATGTAAGTTATAATGTGGTTCATTTATATCAGTTTAACTTTCCATTTGAATCACATTATATTTTTCTTCATTTTTTGCTTTATTTTTATTAAAAGGATATTTTTTGTTACTCCATTTTGCCCTCTACTAAATTATTAATTTTATATTATTTCATCACTTTGAGTGGTGATACAAGTAATTATAACAGCACACTTGACCTATTATTAAGATGCATTACAAATTATTTTTACCATTTCCTCAGTAATGCTCAAATATTGCAGACTTCCATTCCATTTATTCCTCTCCTAACTTTCCTGGATATTCATATGAATCTCAGTATACCTGTATTCTGAATTACATAAAGCAGTACACTTGAGGTTTGGTGTAATCAATTATCATTTATGATTAATGGCATATTTATACCTTTGTGGTATTTGTCATTTCCTCCTACATTTCTGTGTTTCTCTCTGATATAATTTGCTCTTCCCAAATAATTTCTTTTAGCATTTCTCTTAAGTCAAGACTGTTGGTAATAGTCTTTATTTTGTTTGTCTGAAAATGCCTTCATCAGTTCTTTATTTGGGAGATATATGTTATTCTAGGTTGGCAGGTATTTTCTTTTTAACACTTTAAATAAATGCTTCTATTGACATCTGGCTTTCAATGTTCATTATAAAGTAGGCTACCAGACTTATCTGAGCTTCTTTAAATGTAATGTGTAATTTTTCTCTGGCTGATTTTAAGATTTCATCTTTTTAATTTTGTTTTAAATGATCTCCCTGTGGAGTACCTAGTGAAGTAACATAAGGAAGTCTGCTATCCAGTAGAGCAGGGAAATAGTATTTCCCCCACTGGAAGGGAGAACTAATAATTGGCAGTAATAGTACAATCTAAAAGATTCCATGTTCTTTATTGTATTCACTTTCTTCCATTTTGCAACCCAAATTTATTCATTCCCTCACCAAGATGATATATCAAATAACCTGTGAAATCTTATCACCAGGCTTAAAGTTCAACATCATATTACAATTCTTTCACATAGCCAACATACGGTGGTGGAACTAACTAAGGCAGGGAAATGGAAATAACATTCTCATTTGGAAAAGGGAAAATAGGAGGCCAGTGATCTATAATGATGCTTAAACAAACTGGGCAGGTAACCTAGGAATATAGAATGTTCTTTGATTAGGCTTTGGTAATGCTCCTTAGCAGTGACAACAAAGTTTATTCTTCTAAACGTCTGCTCACTCCTTCTTTTAGGCCATTCCTGCTCCATTTTCTTCTGTGGCCATATCTGAATAGGACATTGGAGAGAGTATCCTCTTTATCAGATGACTACGTTTCTCATTCTTCTTATAGCTTTTATTTTTGTTTTGTTATTTCCCCTCTTTTTTATCTTTTAAAGGTTTCTTTTTTTCCCATAAATTATTGGGATACAGGTGGTATTTGGTTACATAAGTTATTTCTTTAGTGGTGCTTTGCGAGATTTTAGTGCACTCATCACCTGAGCAGTATACACTGCACTATATTTGTAATTTTAGATCCCTCACCCCTGCCCCCCCATTCTTCCCCCCAAGTCCCCAAAGTCCATCGCATCATTCTTATGCAATCTTATCTTACAGCATTTAGAAGGTTAGGCCCACCCATCCTTTTAAGGTTCAGAGTCACAGTTTTTTCTAATGCAGGTTTTGGTCTTTTTTAGGAATAAACACTTTCAAAAATTTGGTTGTCTTCTCATCTTTTTCCCATGTGATAATAGCTATGCTCATAATCTTTTTGAGACACACCTGTCCCTCTTGATTTGATTTTCAATATATTTAGCTTACAGGATTTCCAAAAGAGAGCTATGGTTCCAGTCCCTTTACCCTGAGATGTACTGCTAAAATAAAAATATTTGGCGGGCAACATAGTAATTGATTCAGAGATTACAGTAAGGTTATTATTTTTACCTACATTGCTGATTTTGCCATAATCATAAAGTGGAATTTAATTAGCATTTGTCACAAAAAGCTTCTTTAACTGATAGGAGCTGAGAAATACTCACATCAGTTACAGTACTTGCACAACAGCCTATTGTTTTATGAGCTCACTGTTTCTTGCAGAATTTATCCAAGGAAGCCATTAGAGATAAAAATCTAATAGCAGTCAGGTTTAGCATTATTTTAATTTTTTGAAAAATACATTCATTTATAAGCTTTATTTGTTGTATTTCCAGTGATATCATTATATAATGTTATCAAATATGCTATAGCTGCATAACTTGGGTCATTCTTTTTCAAGCTAAATTGTAAGTCTTATTAAGCTTTCTACCAGAATATAAAGTCACATAATTTAGGTTTTATATTACCAAAACACTCCACTTCTACATATTGCTTTCTATGTTAGTTTTTGCTAGATTATTCTGTAGTGGCAAAAACTTTCTTCGTGATTACAGGAACGTGTTTATCTCTTACTTATATGTACACGTTATTTTTGAGTTAGTTGTGGTTTGCTCAATTCAGAGAGTTAAGCTGAAGAGGACAGCCCTGTTTGGGACATGCTGTTCTCATCATGGAGAGAAAACAGAGATGGTAGAACCATGTGATACTCTTGAAGCTTTTCCTCACACAATGCACCAGTCATTTCTGCTCTTGCTGTTTTGGCCAAAAGAAACATGGCCATTTACAAAGAAAAGAAATACAATTATCTCCTGGAGAAAAGCAGCAAGTAACTGAAAAATAAACAATCTACCAAAATTGGTAGTATAGATTTTTGCACTACAATTCTGGCTAATGTAGAATTTATTGGTAAGATACATTTAGATCTTAAACCAATTTCTGCTGGGACACAAGAGACTAAATTTAATCTATGTCAGAGGCCTTATCTAATATAATGAGAGAATTCTTCTATATTAATTCACTCAGAAATTATTCATTGCATTCATACGTTTGATAATCAAAATTATTCATACCATGCTTAAGAGTGATTCCAAAGTACAGCACCTGGACACTATTCCTCACTCATAAAGCCTGCATTTGTTTTCTATTGTTGACATTAAAAACTACCATCAACTTAATCACATGCACAACTTAAATGTATTATCCTACACTTCTGGAGATCAGAAGTCTGATACAGATCTCAGTAAGAAATAGATCAACAGGGCTCTATGTCCTTGCAGTTCTAGGGGAGGATATGTTTCCTTATACATTTAAGTTGTTGGAAGTATTTACTACCTTCTACTTGTAGCCATTTTCTTGCTGGCTATGATCTTAGGGCCATTCTCTTTTTCTAGACCTACCCACAATTCTTGACTCTTGGCATTTTTTCTCCATCATAAAATCAAAACAAAACAAAGACTTCAAAGCTGCAAACAGGAAAGAATACAATTTACTGAGCACTCACTTTATCTGTGCCAAAGAACTATACCTGACATTCCACATCAACTATTTTTATCTGGTTCTTACTCCAATTTATTGTGACATGCATTTTTTCATTTGCAGATGAAAAAAACTGAAACTCAACATGGCTATATGACTTGATCTAGGACTTTTTAGCTTCTAAACAAATGCAATCGCGTTGAGACTCCAGGTCCGATTAACATCTGTGCTCTTCCCATTTATTACAGGGTTTCCATTCTCTCTAGAAAATTTTTGTTGTTACTGAACTATTTCTGCATGTGAAATAAAGCCATGATAATCATGCTTGTCTTTTAGAATGCTGAATTATTACCTAGAGTGATTATTTTAGTCGAAGATGTCTGACACAATAGGGAGAAGAGACAGGTGTGCAATCTTTCATCAATACCTTAACTCTCAAATGGCTCTTTTTTGTAAAAGTTTTGGAAATAGCCTTAGAGTAAGAAAATTGTTCTACTGGAATATCTTGTAAAAGCATCATTATAGACCTCCAGTGTCACAGGGTGCAGATGTGGCATAGAGTTTATTAGGGACATTACAAGGAAGAAAGTGGAAGAGTACATGCTCACCCTCCAAACTTTCAACATTGTATAGTATAGCATGGATATGGATGTTCTGTATGCATGTCCAGAATTCCAGGAGGTAGGGGTCTGCCTGAATGGCATGCTTGACATGAAATTAAAAGCACTCCAAGAGAAGAAGTTCTGTACAAACATTGTGTTACATATGTAGATGTTAGCTTAAGAGGAAAGGGAGCAACACAAAGTTTCTATAAGAAACAAAAATTTGTCAGTACCAGTAACTAAATAGAAAGTATGCATACTGAGAACCAAGGTTTACATATGGAGATGCTAGGAACAGCCTTGTAAGTCAAGAATGCTGACAATCTAAGTCTCTCAGCAGATTGGTTTAACCCAGCTCATTAGCTTTTTACTAAGTTAGAACAAAAAAGAAAATGATCCTCCTGGGCCATATGAATTTTTATCTCTTCAAAAAATATAATTTGTCATATATATACATATTTATAATGTTATATGAATAATTCAAATATGCATATTTGGATTGATACTTGTTAATACCAAGTAATTCTTAATTATCTAAATTGTCTATCCTTTTATATTACAATAATGTTCAGTAAGCACTAAATTAGAATGAGAACACCAGATGGAAAAGAATTGGACAAGAAAAGCAAAGTAATTTGTATGTATGTGTTTGTCTGTGTGCGTGTATGTTGGTATTTTATATTTATAACATGTTTGTACACTGAAACACTGCCAGATCCCTTGAATATGGCACATCAGGAAGCAATCCAGATTTCTATTCTCTATTTTCTATAGTTTTCCTTCTTCTTCTCAAACATACATCCATCTCCTGATTCAATACTCATTGCTTTTGATTTACATTTTACTCTTTCATAATCTTTCTTATTACTACCATTTATCAATTAATTTACATATGAAACGGTGTCTTGTGTGTAATGCCACAGGTAATAGAATATTAAAAATTTAATTTAATACTCTTTTCCAAATTTAGATATAGAATTAATGCAGTCAAAATACAAGTGGGTATTTTGTGGGCACTGTCTAGCTGATTCTAAAATTCACTTGGAAACAAAATGATCCAAAAAGAGCTAAAGTGATCTTAAAAATGGAAAATAAATCCATGAAATTTAGCTTA
Organism: Homo sapiens; assembly: GCF_000001405.40. Lineage (NCBI taxonomy): Eukaryota > Metazoa > Chordata > Mammalia > Primates > Hominidae > Homo > Homo sapiens. The sequence goes on from NC_000009.12 coordinate 30,363,393, forward strand.
CCATATATGAAGACTAATCATAAAGTTCCCAATTCCAGTGTCAGTGAGTAAATGTATTTTCTAAGTGGAAAGAAGGAATCTTGGCCTCCATTTTACTCCATATACCAAAACACTAGATGAATAGTACTTCTAAATGAATAATCAATAAACTTCCTGAAAGAAAACATTAGGAAACCACCATCATGTCCTTAATTTAGGAAAAATTGTCTTGTGCAAGTGAAACAAAGCTCCAAATATAAAGGGATAAATGATAAAATAGACTCTTTAGAACTGTTCATCAAAAGGCACAATGGAAAGAGTGAAAATGAACTTCAATGAGGTAAATGTATTTTGAATAAGTATTCAAGAGAAGATTCATATACTGGGACATAAACAACTCTTAAAGGTGATAAACAGAAATCAATAAATTGTTTCTCTTTAATGCATGGTGGATGATTTTCTTAGAGCTATCTCCCACTGACCTACCCTAACTCGAGAAGGAGTTAGAATTAGCCAAGCCTAGAAAGAGAAGCAGATTAGGTAATCTATGAAAATTAATAGATGTGCAGTGTAAGATATCAGTAAATAGGTAAATACACATAAAGGTAGAACATGACTTTATTAATAATTCACCATTAAGAAAACATATAATTAATTATAAATAAAATTGTTAACAATTATGAAGCCATTACTTATTGTTATACCTTCTCTCATGTGCATTAAAATATACCTTCTAATAATTAAAAGCTTGAATCCAGTTTCTATATGGCACCCAAGTCATTTGTTGTCTGATTTTCTAGTCTCCTCTTGTACCTCCCTGTTATCAAGTTAGTGGTGTTTGATTTCTGATTATAGAATATGGAATGTTTATTAGTAAAAATATGTGCATGACATTTTTCCTTAGGCTAAATTAAAAAAATTTCAACATATGAACTTTTATGAAATATTCTTCACATTGTTTTCCATATTCATTGAAACATTTTTAAAAATGAGAGAATCCCTCCGATGGACTAAAGGGATTGAATTTTACATGCAATTCCACATCTGCATACATCCCCTAGTATTCCTTACTTTGTCATATTTTTTACTTTCTGCATCTTTGGTAGTATAGTGTCTGACAACTCGATTGTTCCTATCCTACCGCACCTACACTTATTATAGTGGAAGCCAGCTCACATAACTGTCAGATGAAAACCTTAGTGCTCCTTTGTTCTTATACTCCTAAAATTAATAGTGGTATCAACCTTCACTATCCCAAGGACCTTCCAGCAATCATGTTTATTTAAGAACCATTGGGTCCAGAGAACCTTTCACTAAGTGCCATTAAAATATACATTTAATGGAAATCTACCTGGAAGGTGTCTCAGATTAATTCACAAATAATAAAAATACCATACTATTTAAGGAAAATTTGATCATCAATAGGTTTTTTAAATATATTTAATGTTAATACATGCTTTTCCAGCTGATTTTATCGATTTTTATCTATTTTGAATTTCATATTTTTATTTCTTATTTCAGGGAAAAACACTTTAATCTTTTGAAATACACCTCTGTGGTAATATACTTTTTGGTCTGTTTTCAGCTAGAGACATGTAGCTTTAGACTCACACAATTTATTTATTTATTTTTTCTTTCAAATTTTCACTTACTTTTTAAACACTCTTTGAGGTATGACTCATTTTTTAAAAACAAATTAAAATATGATGCTGTGAAAAATTCAGTGAATATGCAATATGGTAAGTTATAATTTTGATTATTTAAAATAACTGTTTTATAGTTTTCACTTTTATAATAATGCAGATGATTGTTATGGATTGAATACATATAATATATAAAGAACTACACTAGACAGTTATATAAATATTTTACTTAATGATCAATTAATGACTCAGGGAAAATCAAGATAAGGCAACTGAAGAAAATTTCCTATCTCACATTACTAGAGAGCTGAGCTGATATTAAAATCTAGGTCCTTATTAATGCAAAATATTATAAGCTTAGCTTCTACAGATGATTGTCTACATATTTTTGAAATCATGATGGTAATAATCTTATGGAATTGAAATTTGTATTTAGTGTTAAATATTTTTTATAATATAGCTTGAGCAGTGAAGAGATATTTCTTGTGACTTGAAACAAAAATTTGGAGGAGTGTACAACCAGATGTTTCAGTGTAAGAATTACAGATATTAGGAAAGTGGAATGTGTACTTTGACAAAACTGTAAAAAAGGAAAATATTTAAGCATTTTAATTAATACTTATTGGAATCTTTGTGCTGTAACTTCTCTGCAGGAATAGTAAATGTGCCTAGAGAAAGTAAGTGCCATTGAAAACATGACTCTGTTAGAGTCTTAAAGGGAAGTTTATTAGATGGAGCACACAAAATGAAATAGATTTTTAGAGAATGTTCATGGAAATATTTCTAAAGTAAAAATGCAGTCTCCTTCATTTAAAATATAGCAAGATAAGGTTTTGGGGTAGATCTTGTATCCAATATTATTTGTTAATAGTTTTTCAATTTTGAAAAATTTTAAACATATCCCAAAATAAAAAAAATTGCAATGAACAAGTGCATATACACCATCTAGTTCTACCATTAATGTTTTATCTGTACCATATTTTCTTTATATAGTCCACCATTTATGAACATGTAGATTGATTCCATGTCTTTGTTATTGTTAATAGTGCTCTGATGAATCTATTAGTGCATGTCTTTTTGGTATAAAGATCTGTTTCCTTTGGGTATATACCCAGTAATGGGATTGCTGAATTAAATGGTAATTCCGTTTTAAGTTCTTTGAGAAATCTCCAAACTGATTTCCAGAGCGGCTGAACTAATTTGTATTCCCAATAACAGCGTATAAATGTTTCCTTTCTCCACAACCTTATCAACATCTGTTTTTTTTTTTCTTTTTTACTTTTTCATAACAGCCACTCTAACTGGTATGAGATAGTATCTCGCTGTGGTTTTGATTTGCATTTCTCTGATGATTAGTGATGTTGAGCATTTTTTCATATGTGTGTTGGCAGCTTGTATGTCTTTTTATTTTTTTGAGACATATTCTTGCTCTGTCACCCAGGCTGGAGTGCAGTGGCATGATATTGGCTCACTGCAACCTCTGCCTCCAGGGCTCAAGCAATCATCCCACCTCAGCCTCCTAAGTGGCTGGGACTACAGGCACACACCACTGCACTCGACTTAATTTTGTATTTCACTACAAGTGACAGGGTTTTGCTATGTTGACCAGGCTGGTCTCAAATCCTTGGCTCAAGTGAACTGCCCACCTCAGCTTCCCAAAGTGTTGGAATTAAAGGCAAGAATTACCACGCCTGTTCCCTGTATGTTTTCTTTAGAGAAGTGTTCTTCGGGTCCTTTGCCCATCTTTTAATGGAGTTATTTGTTTACTGTTTGTTAAATTGTTTCTTATAGATTCTGGAAATTAGACCTTTGTCAGATGCATAGCTTGTGAATATTTTTCCCCATTTTGTAAGCTTTCTGTTGTGTTGATAGTTTCTTTTGCTGTGCAGAAGTGCTTTAGTTTAATTAGGTCCCACTTGGTGATTTTTGTTTTTTTTTGCAATTACTTTTTAGGACTTAGTCATAAATCCTTTGCCAAGGTCAATGTCTAGAAAGATATTTCCTACCATTCCTACCTAGGTTTTTTTCTAGGACTTTTATAGTTTGAGGTCTTACATTGAAGTCTTTAATCCATCTTGATTTAATTTTTGTAATGTGAAAGGTAGAAGAGTTTCACTCTTCTGCATATGGCTTGCCAGTTATCCCAGCACCACTGAAATGGAAAAACATTCCATTCTCATATATTGGAATAATAAATATCACTGAAATGGCAATACCAGGAACCAAAAAAGAGTCCAAATAGCCAAAACAATTATAAGCAAAATGAATAAAGTAAGATACATCATATCATCTCACTGCAAACTGTACTATAAGGCTACAGTAACCAAAACAGCATGGTACTTGCACAGAAACAAGACACATATACCAATGGAACAGGATAGAGAACCCAGAAATAAAGCTACACATCTAAAACCATTTGATCTTTGACAAAGTCAGCAAAAACAAGCAATGGTGAAAGGACTCCATAAATTTACTTTTTAAAGTGATGGTTTAAAAGGTTTGCCCATTTTACTGTCTCTCCCACTTATTTTGTCTTTTTATTTTTCAATTGTATGAGTTCTTTTTCACCTCCCTTCTCAACTTCCTACCTTTGGTTAAGAATATTCTGTCAGATATAAATTTTGAGAGTCGAATTATTAAATAAAGGTCTACTTCTTGCTATTTGCTTTGTTGCCTGATATATGTGTCAACCCTTAGGTCAGTACAATATCTGTAGCTTTATAATAAAACTGGATGTCAAGTAATTTAAGTGATCAAATTTTGCTCATTTTTAAAATGATTTCTAGGTTATTTGTATTGACATATATTATTTATAACAACCTTGCCAATTCCTACAAAAAGTGCTCCTGGGATTTTGACTCGGATTGCATCACAGCTATAGATCAATTTAGAAATAAATGACGTATTAACAACTTTGAATATTTCAGTTCTTGTCTTTTCTCTAATTTGCCTAATATCAGTACTTAAGATTTCCACTAAAATGTTCATATATGTGGTGAGAGTGAGGTTTCTTGCCCTTTTCCCCAAATTTATAGGAAATATGTTTAATATTTTGCCCAATGTACAATGTTAGCTACACATTTATTAAAATGCTCTTCATGAGATTAAGGGTCAATCCTTCTGTTCCTAGTTTGCTTAGGGTTTTTGTGAATGAATGTGTATGTGTGTGTGTGTATATATATATATGTGTGTGTGTGTATATATGTGCATACATATATTTAGGATATATATTTATATATAGATAAAAATATATCTATGTATATATATAAATATATATGTGTGTGTATATATATATTTTATATATATATATATATTTAGGATCTACTCTTAAGTACACAATACAGTTATTAACTATAGTCACCATGCTGTATAATTGATCCTCAGAACTCATTCATTCAGCCTAACTGTAACTTTGTGTCCTTTGACAAACTTCTCCCCATTCCTCCACCCGAGCCCCTGGAAACCACTATTCTGTTCTCTGATCCTATACATTCATTGTTTTGTAATTCCACATATAGGTGAGATAACTTATTATTTTTCTTTCTGTGCTTGGCTTATTTCACATAGCCTAATGTCCTCCAAGTTCATCCATGTTGTCACATATGACATAATTTCCTTTTTATAAGGCTGACAACTATTCCAGTGTGTGTGTGTGTGTGTGTGTGTAACGTTTTCTTTATATGCATTCATCTGTGGATGGACATTTAGCTTGGTTCTATATCTAGACTATTATGTATAATGCAGCAATGAACACGAGTGTGCAGATATATCTTGGACATACTGATTTCATTTACTTTAGATATATGCCAGAAATGAGATTGCTGAATCATATAATTCTACTTTTTAAATATTTTGAAGAATATCCATACTGTTTTTTATAATTGTTGCAGCAATTTGCATTCTCACTAACAGTGCACAAGTGAGCCCCATTCTCCACATCCTTGCCAACAATTATCTTTTTTATTTTTGAGAAAAGTCATTCTATTAGGTAGGGGTGATATCTCATGGTAATTTTAATGTACATTGCTCTGATAATTAGTAATCTTGAATATTTTTTCATATTCCTATAGGATATTTGCATGTCTTCTTTTAAAAGTGTCTATCTAGGTCCTTTGACCATTTTTTAATTGGGTTATTTGTTTTATTCTTATAGAGATTTTAATTGGGTTATTTGCTTTATTCTTATAACGGTATTTAAGTTACTTATATATTTTGAATATTAACCCCTTTTGGGATATATAGCTTGCTGATATTTTCACTTGTTCTGTAGACTGTATCTTCACTGTGTTGCTTTTTTCTTCTGCTATGCAAAAACTTTTCAGTTTGATGCAGTCAATACATCGAATTCTGCATTTTTCCTATGCTTTCAGGGGAACATAAAAAAAAAATCATTCCTTGGACTAACATCAAGGAATTTTTTTCTCTATGTTTTCTTCTGTAGTCTTACAGTTTTAGGACTTACATTTAATTAAATCTGTAATAAATTTGGGTTGATTACTATACATGGTATGAGATAAGGATTGAATTCATTATGTATATGGATATCCAGCTTTCCCAACATCATTTATTAAAGGGATTGTATTTTCTGCCTTGAGATTCATGTCAATTTTGTCAAAGATCAATTGATCCTAAATGTATTGATTAATGTCTGAGCTCTCTATTGTGTGCCATTGGTCTATGTATCTGTGTAATGCCAGTAGCATGGTGTTTTGATTCCTATAGCTTCATATTATATATTGAAACATCATTGTGTAATGCTTCTAGCATTGCTTTTCTTTCTCAAGACTCCTTTGGCTATTTGCAGTCTTTGGTAGTTGCATAAATATTTCAAAATTGTTTTTCTGGGGGGTATTTTGTAGTTGCATAGAAATTTCAATATTGCCTTTTGTATTTCTGTGGAAAATGTCATTGTAATTTTTATATCAATTACATTGAACTGGTAGATTGCTTTAAGTACTATGGACATTTTAACAATATCAATTCCTCAGTCCATGAGCATGGAATATCTTTCCACTAATTTGTGTCATCTTCAATTTCTTTCCTCAATATTCTACAGTTGTTATTTTACATGTCTTTCACTTCCTCGGTTAAATGTATTCTTAAGCATATTTTTTTGCAGTTATTGTAAATGGGACTGATTTCTTAACTTTTTTGATAGTTGTTAGTGTATAGAAGTGCTACTGATTTATGTGTTGATTTGTACCTTTCAACTTTATTGAATTTATTTATTAATTCTTACAGTGTTTTGGTAAAGTGTTTATGATATTTTAAGTATAAGGCCATGGCATCTGTAAACAGAGACAATTTAACTTATTTCTTTCCAAATTGGATGTTTTTTAAAATTTATTTTTCTTGCCAAATATCTCTGGCTAGGACTTTCACTACTATGCTGAATGCAAGTAGCCAGACTAGAGGGAAATAATAAAAATGATCTATCCTGGAAAATGTTCTGTATGTGCTTGAGAAGAATGTGTATTTTGCTGCTTTTGGATAGAATGTCTGTATATGGCTTTTAGGTCCATTTGTTTTATAGTGATATTTAAGTTTCCTGCTTTCGTAAAGATTTTTCTGTCTGGAAGATATGTCCATTGTTGAAAATGGGATATTGAAATCCCAAACTATTATTGTATTGTTTAATAATTATTTCTTCAATCAACTTAATATTTGCTTTATAGATGTTTCAATGCTGGGTGCATATACATTTAGAATTGTTCTGTCTTTTTGATTAATTGACCCCTTTATCATTTTAGAGTAACCTACTTTGCCTTGGGACAGATTTTGACTAAAGGTTTATTTTTTCTTCTACACACACACACACACACACACACACACACAAACACAGCTATGTGTGTTATATATAAAGCCATTTACATGAAATAGTTTTTCCATCCCTTCACTTTCATCCTCTGTGTATACTTAAGCTAAGTTGAATCATTTGTGGGAAACATATTGTTGGATCTTGGTTTTCTACTCATTCAGTCACTCTGTGACTTTTCCGTTTTGATTTTCCATTAAATTGCAATCATAATTTAAGCCATTTACATTGAAACTAATTATTGGTAAGGACTTACTGTTGTCATTTTGTTCATTGTTTCCTGTTTTGTAGTTCTTTTGTTCTTTTCCTCCTTTCTTGTTGTCATAGTTTTCATTTGTTTAACAGTGTATTCTTTGATTCTTTTCGTGTTTTTAAAAAATATTTCTTTTTTTTTCTTTATTTTCAGACAGAGTCTTACTCTTTTGTGAGGCTGGAGTGCAGTGGCGCAATCTCAGCTAACTGTAACCTCTGCTTCCCAGGCTCAAAGGATCTTCCCACCTCTCCTTTGTTTAGCTGGGACTACAGTAGGGCACCACCATGTCCAGCTAATTTTCGTTTTTTTAGTAGAGATGGGGTTTTGCCATGTTCCTCAGACTGGTATCAAACTCCTGGCCTCAAATGATCTTCCTACTTAGGCTGGCCAAAGTGCTGGGATTACAGGCATGAGCCACCATGCCTGAACTTTAAAAAGCATTTCTACTATATGTTTTTCTTTTTGATTACCAAAAAACTTCTATTAAAAATCTTTTAAAGTTCATTCAGCAGAAGAAGGAATTAGTCAACTTTAAGACATGTTATTTAAAATTAGCCACTTGGGGAAACAAAAGAAAAAAAGAATGAAATAAGTGAACAAAGTATGAGGGACCTATGGCACACTATCAAGCATATGAACATATAATTTATGGAATTTCCAGTAGGAGAAGAGAGAGAGAAAAGATAAACATCTTACTTAAAGAAATACTGGCTGAGAACTTCCCAAATGTTGATAGGGATATGCACATACAAATTTATGCAGCCCAAAGACCCTTAAGTAAAATTTACTCAAAGGAGGACATTCCAACATACATTATAATCAAATTGTCAAAAGTAAAAGACAAAAAAAAAATACCAGTGGAATTCTCAGCAGAAATCTTGTAAGGTAGGAAGAAATGTTATTTGTTTGTTTGTAACTTTTATATATATAATATATATATATCTATATATTATATCTATATATATTGTATATATATTTAAAACAAATTATTAAATTTCTAACAGATTCAGGGGCCATTAGGTATTTTATTTTGTTTTAATTTTAATAAAATGTTAAAATTTAATTTAATTTGCAGAAATTGTTGGCTTAAAGTTATTTATAGTGTTCTTTTATTAACTTTTTAACATGTAGAATATTTAATTCATTGATCATATTCCCATAACACTGACCATAAATAGAAGGAAAGACACATATTTTCAATAACAAATGAAAAGCTGTATCACTCTAGGATTATAAATATCCCACATATCTTAAGATGATAAAGAAATTTTGTAAACAGCATTAGACAAACAAGTTTGAAAACTTAAAGAAAATGAACAATTTTTTTGAAAGACATATATGACAAAAGTTCGCTCAAGAGAAAATACATAATCTGGACAGCCCTATATCTCTTGAAAAGATTATGCAAACTTTCTTGGAGTGAAAACTGTCGGTCCAGATGGTTTCATTACAGAATTCTACCCAAAAGTTGCTGAAAAAATAAGACCAATTTTACACAATTTATTTCAGAAAATTGAAGAGGAGGGTACATTTCCAAATGAATCAAACATTACCCTAAAAACAAAACCTGGCAGATATATTACTAGAAAATAAAACTACAGATCAAGATCACTCATGCAGATCAATGCAGAATCTGTTAAATGTTACCAAAAGAAATCCAAAAATAAATAAGGATACTACATCACAACCCAGTTAGGTTTATCCTTGGAAAATGAGTATAGTTTACAACAATTCAAAATTATTTAATTTTAAGTTAACCAGTGTAATGTACTATATTAACATATATGCTTATCTCAGGAGATAGAGAAAAATCATTTGACCACATCTAAAAGCCACCATTAAGACTTTCATTCCAAGGCAGGGCATGGCAGCTCATGCCTATAATCCCAGCACTTTGGAAGTCCACGGCAGGTGGATCACCTGAGGCCAGGAGTTCAAGACCAGCCTGGCCAACACGATGAAACCCCGTCTCTACTAAAAATACAAAAATTAGACAGGCGTGGTGGCTCACACCAGTAGTTCCAGCTACTTGGGATGCTGAGGCAGGAGAATCACTCGAACTCGGGAGGCAGAGGTTGCAGTGAGCAATCTGCACTCCAGCCTGGGCACCAGAGTAAGCTCCGTCTCAAAAAAAAGAAAGAAAGAAAAAGACTTTCATTTCCAGACAAGATTGCACAGACTCACCTTTCCCTCTACCTCCTCTTCCCCTCTAAACACAACCAAATACTCTGGGAATAATTAACAATAATAACAGGACTCTGAAAAGTGGAATGAAGTCATCCAGGTTAGAGATCTCAGAACTTAAAGCAGCAATATTCCTTTGAATTCCATAGGTTTTCTTTGAACCCTTAGTTATTCTTAACTGTCCACCAGAGATCCTTGCAACCACCTACATACACAGCTCTCCCTACATCTCCCTCAAAAGAAATATAAATATTTTAAAGCCAGATAAAGAACTGTGGACAAGAGAAATAACATCAGTTATCTAATGGGAAAATGGAGAGACCCATCCCCTCAAATCACCTGTCAGCAGCAGTGGCTTCTCTTCCTACAGCGGTGGTGCCAGCAGAGCCCTGGTGGAACATCCCATCTTCTGCTCAAACCTAAGCAGCAGCAAGTCTTCTAACCTTCTACTGAGACTGCAGCCAACTTAGCTCTTCACCTAGCAGCAGAAGGAAAACTCATCCCAAGTACTCCCATACTTCTACCACCCCTCACTCACCACCAGCAAAAGGTAGCTCAGGTCAGTGGGTGTGGTGTTCCCACATTGGCACTGGCCTACGAGATAAAATGAGAATTCCATTGGCACCAGATGTCAGAAAAACAGGCCAGGGGAAATCTCCCTTTTCTCATAGGCCAGATATCCCACAATCCCTCCTCATACCTAGAAACACCTGAAGGCCAGGGAAGTATAATCTACTGCTACAACGAACACAGCTAGAATTCAGCACGAGCTCCAGAAAAGCTGGATAAATATAATAAACCAGCATAGCATAGCAAGAGATCAGCAAGCTATATTGTTATTGGAGCTACAGGCCACAAATATTACCCCCAAATCAACATACCTAACGTGTTTCTGGAAAAATAAATCCCCAGGCCACAAAGGCTTCACTGGAGAATTTTACCTAACACTGGAAGAATCTTTATACCAGTTTTGTACAACCCATTGCAGAAAATAAAAGAGGAGGGGACACTTTCCATTTTAGGTGACAAATATTATCCTAATAGGAAAACTTTACAAAAATATTACAAAAAGGGATAACTGCAGACCATGATTCCTCATGAACTTAAATGCAAAAACTTAAACATAATATAAACAATTTAAATTTAGCAATGTATTAAAATTATTATATACCATAATAAAGCGAGATCTATTACAGGTAAGTTCAGTATTTCAAAATCAATCAGTGTAATCCACCCTATCAACAGAGAAAGGGGAAAAATCATATGGTCATATCAATGAATGCAGAAAAAAACATTTGATAATGTTCAACATGCATTCGTGATAAAAGCTTTAGCAATTGGTAATAGAGGGGGACTTCAACTTGATAAGGCAATAAAAAATATAAAAATCATGCAAACTGTTTTCAGATAGCATGATTCTTTATACAGGAATTCCAGGGAATCTACAAAAATAAACTCTTAGTACTAATCAATGAGTTCAGCAATGTATACGAGAAAAACAAACACAATTGCATTTTTATATTAATAATAAACATGTGGAAACTGAAATTCAAAATGCAACACAAAACAAATAAGAAACACAACAACATTTAAAATTGAACTGAACATAATGAAGTACTTTCATGTAAATTAAACAAGGGTAGAAATTATACTAATGGTCTAAAATCTCTTTCAGAGAATGGAGGCGGAAGGAATAATTCCTAACCCATTATGTAAGGCGAACAGTACACAAATAACAGAACCAGATAAAGTCACAAACAGAAAAGAAATCTACAGACCAATATCTCTCACAAATATAGATGCAAAAATCCTCAACAAAATATTAGCAAATTAAATCCAATAGTATATAAAAAGAATTATGCACCATGATGAAGTGAGATTTATCCCAGGTACACAAAGATGGTTCAACATTTGAAAATCAAGTTTTAGAGTTTATCATATCAATAGGCTAACAAAGAAAAAAAGATACAATCATATCAAGAGATGCAGAAAGGGCATTTGCCAAAATCCAACACCCATTAATGATAAAAACTCTCAGTAAACTAGGTATACGGGGGGACTTTCTTCACAGAATAAAGAATACCTACAAAAACTCTACAATTAACATGATACTTAATGATTAGAAACTAGAAGCTTCCCCACTAAAATTAGAACTAAGGCAAAGATGTTCTCTTTATCATATTTTCATCATGTTAACGGAATTATTTGGTAGTGCAACAAAATAAAGCAAAGAAAAATGTACGTGGATAAGATGAAAGAAAACTGTTTTTAAATATGACATGATTATATAGAATATCTGAAAGAAATTTTAAAACTCCTAGCAATAATAAGTGATTATAGCAAGGTTGCAAGATACAAGGTTATTATATAAAAAGCAATTGTTTTCCTGCAAAAAAGTGGAATTTGAAATAAAAAACACAATACAATTTATGTTAGCACCAAAAAATGAAATGCTTAGGTATAAAACTAACAAAATATGTATAATATCTATATTTTAAAAACCTACAAGCTAATAAAATAAATGAAAGAAAAACAAATAAAAGAAGAAACATTCCATGTTCATGGAAAGAAAGGCTCAATATTGACAACATGTCAATTTTTCCCAACATGATGTATAGGTTTAGTGCAATCCTAATTAAAATCTCAGCAAGTTATTTTGTTTATGAGGTGAGACAAAACTCCCAAGAAGAAGAAAGTTGGAGGACTTACACTATCTGAAGCAAAGATGTACTATAAAGCTACAATAACCAAAACAGCATGGTATTGGTAAAACCAAAATAGACAAATGAATTAGTGAAATAAAATAGAGACTCCCTCCAGTAGACTCATATAAATACAATAAATTAATCTTTGACTAAAATACAAAAGCAATAAAATGGAGCAAAGACAGTCTTTTAAATGAACTTTTCTGAAACAACTGGACGTCCACATGCCAAGAAAATGAGTCTAGACAAAACATGAGTCTTACACTCATTATAATTAACACCAAATGGATCATAGATCTAATATAAAATGTAAAACTGTCAAAGTCCCAGAAAATTTGGATTGTGCCTTTAGTGTTCTATCTAAAAAGTCATAGGCATGTCCAAATATATCCATATATTAAATCCAAATATCATATCCTAATATGGCAATGACTTTTTAGATAGAACGCTAAAGGTACAATTCATGAAATAAACAATTGATAAGCTGGGTGTCACTAAAACTTAAACTAAAGTTTTTGTTTTTCAAAAGATAATGTCAAGAGAATGAAAATACAAGCCACAGATTGGGGAAAAAAATTGCAAAAGACACATCTGATAAAAGACTGTTATCCAAAATACACAAAGCATTACTACAACTCAACAGCAAGATTGTAAAGAACCAATTAAAAAATAGGCCAAAGATCTTAACAGACACTTAACTTATGAAAGAAAACATACAAATGGAAATTAAATATATAAAAAGATACTCCATATCATATGCTATCAGGGAAATAAAAATTAAAGCAATTGTGAGATACATTACACATCTATCCAAAGGGCCGAAATCTGAAACACTGACAATAGCAAATGTTAGCAATTTTGTAGAGCAGTAGGAACTTATATGCATTACTGGTAAAAAACAAAAACAAAAACAAAAAAACAGCCATTTTGGAAGACAGTTTGGCATAAAAAAATACTAGTACCATAAAATTCAGCAATTGTGTTCCTTGGTATTTACCCAAAGCAGTAGAAAACTTATGTCCACATAAAACCTGTACATGGATGTGCATAGCATGCTTACAAATACATAATTGCCAAAATTTGGGAGCAACCAAGATATCGTTCAGTAGGCAAAGAAGTAAAAAAACTACTTTCCCCTCAGAGAGTGGAATATTATTCAGTGCTAAAATATTTGTGATATCAAGCCATAAAAAAATGGAAGAACCTTAAATGCATATTAATAAGTGAAATAAGGCAATCTGAAAAGTCACTTCTATGTGATTCCAACTGTATGATGTTCTAGAAAAGGTAAAACTATGGAGACATTAAAAATATCACTGGCTGTCACAGGTTGAGGGAGAAAAGGTTGAAAAGATAGAGTGCAGAGGATTTTTGGAACAGTAACATACTCTATATGATACTATAATGATAAATCATGTAATTATCATTTGTCCAAACCCACAGAACGTACACCACAAAGAGAGAACTCCAGACTTTGGGTGATTATGATGTTAACATTTATCAACTGTAACAAATTTACCACTCTGGTGGAGGATATTGATACTTCAAAGAGGCTATATGTGTGCAGGTCAGGGTTTTCTGAGAAATCTCTGAATATCTTTATTGATTGTACTGTGAACCTAAAACTGCTCTAAAATTAAAATCTTATAAAATAAAACAACTAAAAAATAGAAACACATCTGATGTTCTTTAATGGATAAATGGTTAAAAAAGTATGGTACACAATACCAACAATGGAATATACTCAGCAATAAAAAGGAAGGGACTATTGATATTCACAAAAACCTATATGGATAGGTGGGGAATTATGCAAAGTTAAAACATTTAATATCGAAAGCTAACATAAGGTTATATAACATCAAACATGCATTTACATAATATTCTTGAAAGACAAAATCATAGAAATAAATAACAGATTAATGTTTTACAGTGTTTAGAATGGGGTATAGTAGAGAGAGGAGAGAGGTAATCGTAGTTATAAAAGGGCAACATGAGAGACACTTTTAATCATGGAACTTATCTATGTGATGAGTGTCATGCTGAGTACCTGAACCTAACCATGTGATAAAATACTTAGATCTAAATATTAAACCTAAACATTAGGCCAGGTGTGGTGGTTCATGTCTGTCATCCCAGCACTTTGGGAGGCCGAGGTGGGTGGATTGCCTGAGGACAGGAGTTTGAGACCAGCCTGGCCAGCATGGTGAAACCCCGCCTCTATTAACAATACAAAAAAAAAAAATAGCCAGGAATGGTGGCACATGCCTATAATCCCAGCTACCCAGGAGGCTGAGGCAGGAAAATCACTTGAACCCGGGAAGCAAAGGTTGCACTGAGCCGAGGTCATGCCACTGCACTCCAGCCTGGGTGACAGAGTGAGACTCCATCTCAAAAACAAAAACAAAACTAAACATTAATTCTCTCTCTCTCAAATACACAACACACACACACACACACACACACACACACACTCACCCATACATGTATAACTGGGGAAATAATAATATCCATCTATTCTATCAATGTCAATATACAGGTTGTGGTATTGTGTTATAAGTTTTCTAAGTTGTTACTATTGTAGGGAAATCCATAAAGTGTACATGAGAGCTCTTTTTATTATTTCTTACAGCTGTATGTAAATCTACAATTAGTTAAAATAAAAATTTATATCTAAAATGTACATTTATATATTCAAATATGTGTATGCTTATATATACCACATATTTATGAATTATATGACACACATCAACATATAAGACATATTCTTATTTTGAGCCACAGCTTCTCCTAACATTTTTGCTGCTTTTTAGGTGATCTTATATTTACAGAATAATAACTGAATCTGAAAAATAAAAGAATGAAAATATAGGATGCTTTCTTTAAGGCTCTTAAAGAGGATCTTACATATTATGCTTGATTTAATAATCAAGCGTGGTCATTCAACTGAAAATCCACTCACCATAAAATGCTTTTCATTTATTCTTAACAATTAATGTCCAAATAGTATTTATGGGAAAGCATTCATTTATTTGTTCTCTCGGTGGACAAATAAACCATTCTGACTTTTTAAACTTTAAAATTCTGTTTTGATGTAGCTGATAGAAAAATATCAACAGGCTTTAAAAATAATTTATTATGCATATTTCTCTTTTTGATATTTTTATCTTCAATCTTAAATGTATATGGCATATATTTACATATAAGAATAAAATTCACATAAATTAGTAATCTGTATACCTTAATACTTCATATCCTTGGTAAGTTCACTCCATCTAAAAGGTTAGTCTCATTAGCATATCCATAAAAATAATTAAAGTTGTCATGGTTTCATTTTGCTGCTAACCTATCTCTTTTCCTCTAACATCTGCTACATATCCCTAGACTATTATGGCATTCAATTCTTTAAGTTGCAAACATTTATTTACCTGCCATTCTGGACCTCTTCACGCTACACCTCTCGAGGGTAGAAAGTGAATTTTAGTCATGTTTTCATAACTTATACAATCTTGCATATAATAGGTCTTTTGCTAAGCTTTGATTAATGAATGACTGAATCAATGCAGGCATGAATGGGAATCAATTTCTGTCCTCTGCCTATGGGGTTTGTGTAATAATTTTTTTTGAATTTTAAATTTAATAAGAATTGTCATAAGGGAATTAAGGAATTATCTTTTTGGAGTAGAGTGTACACAGAAGTGTACTACATGTAATTTCATATTTAACAAATACATAGCACTCTAAGAATGCTAAATTGATTTTGCTTCCTTTAATTCTACCAAGCATATTCTTACTTAACTTGTGTTTTTAAATTCTATTTCTTTTTCAAATACACAGTATGAATCCAGGCTATTAGTAGCAAGGTAATGATTATAATGGGAGGTGGAGGCATAGCAGTAATGAGATGGGATATACGGGCATGTTCTGGAGTGCTGCAAATATTCTAAGTACTGGTTGTATAAAAATGTTCACTTTGCTAAAAATATTCATTGTGTTGGTTACCCTTACGATTTGTAGACTTTTCTGTAAACACATTACAATATAAATTAAAGCCCAAAACATCCTCTTTAAATCTTCATAATATGCAAAATAATAATTAGGTGTTGTTTTTTGGACACTGTTATAATGTTGCTTAGATACAGAAGTAGAACTACTCCTAGAGAAAAACCATTAGTAAATAAACTAATTAAAGGCAATTATTACAATTTCAATATCTACTATAGTAACTTGTTTCTTTAAACTACTGGCTACTAAGCTTAGGAATGATAGCCTTTCACAGACAATGCAATTTCGTTTTCAAATCGCCAATATATATTCTCTTCTTTTCAACTTACATTCAATATTTGCAAATAATTTTAGTTCCTTGAAACCACAGTTATTTTCTTAAATATTTTATTTTTATCTTCTTTATAAGCAGGGATAGAATAAATCAATTTGCTCTTAGTAACTGTCTTTTTAGAAACAACCTAATGTCAGTTTTCATTATATATTTCATCTTGTTAGTAAATGAAAAAATAAATAAAATTTGAATCCCAGTCTAATGTTTGTGTTATTTCTATAAATGGATTAATGTTACTAATTTTAACATGTTCACTATGGTACCAACCAAGAATTATCACTTACGAAGGAAAAGTTGCTAACAAAGAATTCTTTGTATAACAAGTAACATATAATTGAGTATATAATTTTACCTATGTGAATTGTCTCATACAACTTTTCACAGTACCACACATCTAATGATGTAAGATAATGACATCATTTCTTTCATTGAAAAGGAAATTGTAAATACACAGGAATGTATTCACTTTGGAAACTATAAGGACTTCTAACACTTTAGTTTAAATTATATGGATAAAATTATGCATGAAATATTCTATAAGAGGTCAATAAAATGTATTTTTGTGACAGTCCTAGGAGCAAAGATTGTCCATGAACATAATTTCAAAGGCATACAGGCAAACACACACACTCCCCCAAACACATACACCCACAGACACATAGGTATAAAGTAACTTGTTGACTAGTAGAACATATATTGAATAGTTAACACTGATTTTTTTCACATTCACTTCTTTTAAACAATTCGTTGTTTGATACATTGGCTTTCCCTCTGTCTGAATAACATTTGGTAACTACTACTTTCCTTAGAGCTTTAGCTTCTACCAACCACGTTTCAAACGAATCTATTTTTTTTTACTTTGCTATTGTACTTCGCACAAACCTCTCTAACTGTGCATAAATACAGTATTGTCACATGAAGTGTAATTCATGTGCTTATATATCAAATTCCCCTTGACGTTATGGGCTCTGTTAAGAGGTTATAAATCTCATTAATTTTTATATACATAGCATTAAGGAAAAAGCTTGAAATATAGTTGTTCAACAAATATTTGTTGACTAGATATGTAGTGTCCACTCACAATTGAAGAGGATTTAACACTGATAAAATAATAATTAAAATAATAAACTTTTCCAAAGTTGATTCAATTAAAGGTCACATTCATATCACTTCAAGTGTTATTTCATCAAAACCATAATCCATATTATATACTATCATGTTAAAGTAATACAAACCCGAAGTAATAAAAATAGACTAAAAATATTAGTACACATGATACACATCTTTAGTTATGACACAGAAATTTAATCAAACATAGGAAATGTGGGCCACTACCCTGTTATCACTCAACATTTCAGTAATGGAAATGGTTAAAGTAGCACAAAATGAGAATTCATTTATCTGAAATTCGCTGGCAAAATAAGACTCTAAATGCTTGCTATAGCCACAAAAGGTTTTTACTTTCCTTATAGAAAAATAAATAAGTCAAGATTCATTGATTAGTATTTCTCTATTTTTATTTTAAAATAAAACAATACATGTTTTTTGTAAAAAATACACACAATACAGAACTGAACAAAGAACCAATTTAAAAATTAGCTGTACTCCCACAACATAGGGATATTCACTTTAAGATGAAAAAATTTGGTGCATATCATTTCAAACATTTATTTCTGAATAAAATATGTGTATGTGCATTCATAGAGAACAACTGATAGAATGTGAACGATATAGATAAGGATTTTAGCCTTCTCAACATTTAGAAGTTAAAATTGAGTCCCTATCTAGAAGTTAAAATTGAAATAATAATATAAATATAAAATTAATTTAAAAATTTTGTAAGTATTAACATCTTCATTATAATAAATTGTATGCATGTACTATAGTTTAATTAACTGACCCATTTAATCAGACGTGAACTTTTTAAAAACCAGTGTTTATAAAGTATACTCCCATCAATTATCTGTACATTAATCTGTGCAAATATTTCTAAGATTCTTTATACAACTCATAGTTTAAGGCGGATATCTGCCTTTAAAATGATCAGATTCAATATTTTCATTATACAGATTAGATAATTTACTTGGCTAAATATGTCTTGTTATGATGCATCCAAACTTGTGTAATAAAATCTGGCCCTAGGCCAGGTGCAATGGCTTATAGCTGTAATCCCAGTATCACTTGAAACCAGGAGTTTGAGATCAGCCTGGGCAGCGTAGTGAAAAGCTATCTTTACAAAACATTTGAAAATTAGCTGGACATGTTGGCATGTAGCAGTAGTCCTAGCAACTCAGGAGGCTGAGGTAGGATGGTCACTTGAGCCCAGAAATTTGAGGCTTCAGTGAGCTATGATTGTGCCACTGCATTCCAACCTGAGTGACAGAGCAAGACCCTGTCTTTAAAAAAATAATAATTAGAAGAATAAAAATAAAACAAAATCTTAGTGTATATATTAATGTAAATGATTTCTTGATATTCCATATATTGTTATTCAAAATATAAATGAAATACACAATAAATGCTTTGTAGAATCACTTTTTGATATTTGTCAGAAGTGCTAAATATGGGAATCATTATCATGTTTTGTTGGCCTGTGAGTAAAACATAACTCAATATAAGAATTTCTATTCATTTTATTTCCTTCAGGCTTAATGTAAATAGTATGAATAACTTAAACAGCAAAAAACATGGTAAGTGACAAAAAATCTCATTAAATACATGAGAATGGGATATAGTATAGCACATATATGCAATATTTTAGTGGGACTTTGTTTTATTTTATTTTATTTGTTCTAGAGCCTCTTTTTAGATTTTAGAAACTATTTCTAATGGCAGAAAATTGTAATTACAAGATCTGTGGTTGAAATTTCTTCAGTTTATAATGACAATAAAGTATGAATACACAAGTAATCTCATTTTGTAATTTCTTATTAGATAGTTAATTTTTGATCAAATTATCTTAAATCTAAACCTGGCAGATACAACAGCGAGCAAAATATTTTTGGGTCACTGCTGTTGTAACCTACACTGAATTAAAAATCAGATTGCTACTTACATAATTTTTTATACCTGGAATAATTTAAAAATCTTTTATAATTCAGACCTCTTATTGTTGTATTTCAGCAAGTATTTTTTATAACCGATCATACAGGCAAAATGTATCTCAGAGGTTTGCCTTTCTATTCTACAAATTCAATACATCTATTCCTTTACACATACAGAAAATGTGGAAAAACAGAGTACTGAGTAACTAAATACATTATGTTAAAATATATACTAAAAATGTATTTTTTTCCAGCTTTAAAATTATTTATGATGTTAAATTATTGGGAAGCAGGCCAAAGAATACAGGACCATTTTAAAGCTTCTTGATCTCATAGAAATTAAGCATTAAAATTCAGTCTGGGCTGAGCAAGGACAGATCACTGAAGTGGAGAGAGCATGTTGATGCAAATGGAAAGAGAAAGACTTCCTATAATAATGAAAGGAGCAATGAACCTGAGCTAAGAATGACTGTCTATGAGAATATTATACTTGCTTATGCAGCACAGGGTTCCTATCTCCTTTTAGACTCTGTCCAAACTTATTAGAAATGTAATTGCAACTGTCTGTTCAAATACTGGGTAACAGCAATTGCATTTTTCCCATTCCTTCCTATTTCATTCACAGGTAATCTCTGCACTATGCCTGCTTATGATAAGGGAAGAACATGCAAACCTTGAATCCCTTGTAACCATTAGGCTATTCACTTCTAGAATAAAACAGAATCTATTGTATCTAAACTAGTTTTAGTTTTTTTAAAGTGCTCTAATTCTTGGTGGGCGTTTGGGTGTATTAATGTTATACCGTTGTAAGGAGAGGATAACTTTTATATTGGAGAGGACAAATCAGTGTAAGTTATTTGTTAAATAGTCTTAGCATTCACTTCACACTTGCTCCATGGCAAAAATGTATTTCTGCCTTAGAAGTAAGAATGTATTCCACACAGGTATTATAATTGCATTTTAATTGTCATCATCACAACAACTGTAGTTTTATTATTAACTTCCAAATATAATTATCATCATTACCCTGCTAAGTTACTTTTAAAATAGCTAAAATAAGCAGTCTAATAATTATATTGTGCAGTATGGTTTTTTTTTTTAACATAAAAGGTGCTCCTTAACACAAACTACAAATAATATAGTGGGATATGCAATGGCTTTGAAGTTAGAGTCCTAGCTCTATCACTTTCAGTGTGACAGTTGATCACTTTTGAATGAAAATAAAATATCAACATTACTATTTCTTTTTCTTTTTTTTTTAACTATAAGTTCTGCGATACATGTGCAGGAGGTGCAGGCTTGTCACATAGGCATACATGTGCCATGGTGGTGTGCTGCACCTATCAACCCATCATTTAGGTTTTAAGCCCTGTATGCATTAGGTATTTGTCCTAATGTTGTCCCTCGCATTGCCCCCCACCCCCTGACAAGCCCCGATGTGTGATGTTCCCCTCCCTGTGTCCATGTTTTCTCATTGTTCAGCTCCCACTTATGAGTGAGAACATGTGGTGTTTGGTTTTCTGTGCCTGTGTCAGATTGCTGAGAATGATGGCTTCCAGCTTCATCTATGTCCCTGAAAAGGACATGAACTCATTCTTTTTTATGGCTGCATATTATTCCATGGTGTATATGTGCCACATTTTCTGTTTCCAGTCTATCATGATGGGCATTTTGGTTGGTTCCAAGTTTTGCTATTGTAAATAGTGCTGCAATAAACATACGTGTGCATGTGTCTTTATAGTAGAATGATTTATAATCCTTTGGTTATATACCCAGTAATGGGATTTCTGGGCCAAACAGTATTTCTGGTTCCAGATACTTGAGGAATCACTACACTTTCTTCAACAACCAACACAAACAATTCCTCAACCAACAACAATGGTTGAACTAATTTACACTCCCACCAACAGTGTAAAAGTGTTCCTATTTCTCCACAGTCTCGCCAGCATCTGTTGTTTCCTGACATTTTAATAATCGCCATTCTAACTGGTGTGAGATGGTATCTCATTGCAGTTTTGATTTACATTTCTCTAATGACTAGTGATGATGAGCTATTTTTCATATGTTTGTTGGCCACATAAATGTCTTCCTTTGAGAAGTGTCTGTTCATATCCTTCACCCACTTTTTGTTGGGATTGTTTTTGTCTTGTAAATTTGTTTAATTTCTTTGTAGATTCTTGATATTAGCCCTTTGTCAGATGGATAGATTGCAAACATGTTCTCCCATTCTATAGGTTTCCTGTTGACACTGATGATAGTTTCTTTTGCTGTGCAGAAGCTCCTCAGTTTAATTAGATCTCATTTGTCAATTTTGGCTTCTGTTGCAATTGCTTTTTGTGTTTTAGTCATGAAGGCTTTGCCTATGTCTATTTCAAGTTACATAAGACATTTCCAACAATGTCAGATATATGGTGATTTACTATTTATATATATATATATATATATACATATATATATATAAAATCTTTATATCTTAACCACCTCATAGCCTTCTCTCAAAGTTCTTTTGTATATCATTTTTTGTTGTTTTAATAGTTTACCCAGATAACCATGTATATTCATATACTCTATATAAATTTAAAACATTTTTGAAGATTTACTCAAATATCACCATCCATAGTCAAAATGATTTTGTGTGTCTCTACATGCATTTCCATAGTTTACAGTAAAGCATATAGAGATTTAAAATGGCTGTTTTCTTTTTTAGATTATATATCTGTTAGGTATCATTTTAGTCATTTTACTCCCCCCAAAACTGATGTTGAATATTTCTTTTAATATATTAGCATATTATACAATTGAGTTGAAATCAATTGAAATTTTGGCCTAGTTGTACAAATGAAAATGGAGTTGCACTTTTATTTCTTATTTACAATTTTATGTAGAACTCAAAATATTTTGCCAATTTTATGAGCATTACTGCTTACTACAATTGATTTATCCAGGTTTGGCTTTTTTATTTTTTAACTGATGCACAAATATGTCAAATAGCAGAGGATAAACCAGTTTGTAAAGCACTTGTTGAGGCATCTTTAAACACAAAATGCTACCATTTGCTTTCTATAAAAGTATAACTATTTTCAGAAGATTTCTGATACTAATTACAAGTCATTGTTTATCAGGCTCTAACAGGAGATAGAAAAGTATACTTGTAGTTCTTTTGATAGTCAGAGACATTAATGTTATCTTTAAATAATTGGGTTATTTATTAAGTAAATTTTAGCCCTAATCATTCAATAGAAGATAACTAGGTTATAATTATTGATCAATAACATGAAGCTAATTTTTATAGATTATTACTAAAAATTTTGGCAACTGTATTATGTTGTGAATGCTTAGAGGTACAATTAACAAATTTCAATAAACTGTAAAATCATAGAGTAATATTTAATAATGTTGTATCTATAACTTTTAGTTTTTATTTGGTTTGTTTGTTTTCTTGTTTAAGTAAAACAAAAAACCAAATTTCTCCCTTGGAGAAGTACCGATGATAATAAGAGTGTATACTGAATGCACTCTCATTAAGAGTATGCTATGGTGTTTTAAGGTCCTTTCTCCTACAGTCTTCCTGTTTAAGTAAATTTTACCCTGATGTTATCTTTTTTTTTCTTAATTGGGAAGATATTAGGATGAGTGGACTCCAGCACCTTCGGTTCCTATGTAAGCAAACCTCCAAATACCAACAAAATGGGGATTAGGGTTTAAACTTATGAATTTGGGGAAGGCACAAACATTTAGTTCAAAATAGCTGTTATTTTTTAACTAAAAATGGTAAATTGATATACTAATGATATAAATAATAGTTGATGACTACAGATTATAGTACCATCCTTCCAGGTGTAAAAGACTGAGATCCTCATGTGCTTACAATATAAATTGTGCATATTAGAATACCAAAGGCACCAGGGTATTTTGAATGTGCGTTGTATACCTAATGCTTTCTTGCCTTCACTGTTTATTGTAATTTTATTCCATTCCAATCTGCCATAGTCCTCTATTGACTTTTAATTCTAAAAAGAAAGAGAAATAATGCAGAAATCTATGCATTTAGAAGCTCAGAGGTTTTTGCATCAAACTGATCATGTATACTTCTAATTTACTCCTGCAGTGCATATTTAGTAAAGTTTGTTTGTTTGTTTTCTATGAAAATGTTGGTTCAAACAATTCTCTAGGCTCTGGTTAAAATAGGGGGATAAAAATAGAAATAGATCCAGTTTCCTGCTGAAATATTTGTTATTTTCTTCACTGAAACATAAACAATTCACCCATAAATAATTGCACAGGCAAGCTGTAAATCCTTTCTCTTCAGCCTCTTTTAGCAGGGCTTGCAGAATTGATTTATACTTATATTGCGGCTATCACTATGTCAAAATAGTTTATTGCAAAAATTCCATTGTTTACTGATTATTTTAATGCAAAACTTAATAAGCTGAGAAAAACATTTTATGTATGGATTATAAACCATCCCTACTCAATAACTAAAGCTGCTAATCTTGCTCACTACTTTATTGTTGCAAATTGATTTCAGAAAATAATATAAAATACAAACACACTCATAATGGCTATATTAGAAGATGGATCTGGTTTCATATAGTGTTAATTTTTACTGTGTTATTCAATTAAAATCATGCACACTGTATCTGTTACAGTATATTTTATAATGCCAAAGGTAAATTTAATAGTCTATTGTGCACATCTGCTGTCCCTGATCTTTTAGCACTCCTGTGTAGTATACTTATTCATTTACTTTTGCTTTGTTGCTCAAAAAATTACTTTTATGCTTTAGAGTTCTGCATCATGACTCTCAAGTGGCCTTGGACAAGCATGGATGAATCACTGTATTGGCTCCATCATAAAGATAAGTGTTTTCTACACTCAGGTTGAAAGATGCTATCAAAACAATCACCTACCTGTGTTTGGAAATACAGCAAGAAATATGATGAAATTTGAGCAGTAGCTGTCATGTTAAGCCATGTCACTTTTCCTGTGGGAGCAATAGTGGCAAAATGTTTATGGAATTTTTCTTTTTGTCAGATGGTCTCTAGATTTACATGTTAGCTCTGTTACTTATTAGCTATTTCTCCTTACACAAGTTAATCAATATCCTGAAGCCTAACTTTCTTAATAACAACACTCCATCACTCCTTTTTTTTTTTTTTTTTTTTGACGGAGTCTCGCTCTGTCGCCAGGCTGGAGTGCAGTGACAGTGATCTCGGCTCACTGCAACCTCCACCTTCCGGATTCAAGTGATTCTCCTGCCTCAGCTACCTGAGTAGCTGGGACTACAGGGGCACGCCACCATGCACAGCTAATTTTTGTATTTTTAGTAGAGAAGGGGTTTCACCATGTTGGACAGGATGGTCTCAATCTCTTGACCTCATGATCTGCCCACCTCAGCCTCCCACAGTGTTGGGATTACAGGGGTGAACCACCATGCTCAGCCTACTCCATCACTTCTTTTATCTCACCTTATAGAAAGAAAAAGAGAGAGAGAACTTTGGGAAAAACTCAAATACCTGATTTCTCCATGTACATACTAAGGAAGTTTTATACTGATAAAAAAATCCATATATCATTCTCATCTCCACCTAGCATTTTATTTTACACAGATATCCAGAGTGATCAGACATATACTGCCTCAACTTACCACCAAAGATACAGCGATACATATATCTGCAATCAAGTTATACTATTTGTTCAAATATGTGTGTTTTTCTCTCTATCAGTCAATTAAAGGTTTATATTTTCTAAGAAGTAACTTTTGGTTTTATTGATAACTTTATTGAATTTTCTATTCTTTATTTCATTTTTTGTTCTAATGTACACTATTTCCTTTCATTTATTTTGGATGTGGTTAGCTCTACTTTTTCTAATTTTATAAGGTGAAAACTTATAGTGTTGATTTGAAATATTTATTTCCTTTAAGATAGCCAGATACAAATACATTTCCCTCTAAGCACTGCTTTAGCTGCATCCCCCAAATTTTAGTGTGTTGTGATTCGGTATTCATTTTTCCCAAGGTGTTTTCTGACTTCCATTGTGACTTCCTCTTTGACCAATTATCTTATAAATTTCCACATAATTGTGAATTTCCAAAATTTTCTCCTATTATCACTTTCTAACTTTCTTTCATTGTAGTCTGAGAAAGCATTTTGTATTATATCATTAAAAAAAACCCTTGAGGTATGTTTTATAACCTATCATACAGTATATCCTGGAGAAAGTTCCACATACACTTGAGAATAATGTGTATTCTCGGTTGTTGTGTGGAGTGTTCTTTATGTGTATAGTAGGTTTCATTATGTTATACTGTTGTTGTGTTATTCATGTATTCTATTTTGTTATTGATCTGCCTAGTTATTCTATTCGCTATTGAATGTGGAGTATTGAATTATATCTAATTGTCTATTTCTCTCTTCAATTATGTGTCTTTTCTTCACATATTTTGGGTCTCTGGTGTTAAGTACATTTATAGCTTACAAATTATATATCTGGCATGTGCATGTGTGGATACCACCACCACCTTGCTGCTGCTAATGTACACATGCTGATCCCACTGCCATCACCCAGATCGAGTGCTTTTGCTGTCACCCCGTGTTGTAGTGCTTTTGCCAGAAGACAGGAACACCTCGGCCCTTCCACCACAGCAGATGCTTAACCTCAAGAAGCCAGAGAACAAAGCCATGGGTCTGATCCAATCCTCCAGGGTTACAGTATTTAGCCCAAGAGTGCTGAGCTGTGCCTTGGCCCTGCAAAATTATCCAGAAATAAAGCCAGTTGACTAAACCCAACTTTCACCGTAGTAAGCCTCTTAAGAGCATCAAATAATATCAAAACAAAAAGTTCTGTCTAAAGAATAAATTCAAAGATTAAAGAAACATTAGCTCACACAGATGAGAAAGAACCAGTCCAAAATGTCTTACAACTCTAAAAAGCCAGAGTATCTTCTTACCATCAAATAACTGCATTAGTTCCCCAGCAATGGTTCTTGAGCAGAATAAAATTGCTGAAATAACAGACATAGAAATTAGAATCAGTTAAAGTTCAGGGTCTCTTGTAAGGCAAGTCTGGTGGGTAGAAAAATAAGATAAAGAAAAACAATTAATGGGTACTAGGCTTAATACCTGAATGATAAAATAACCTGTACTAAAAACCTCCATGACACAAGTTTACCTGTGTAACAAACCTGACCTGAAAATAAAAGTGAAAAAACAAAATCAGAATCTGAATGGGAAGGAAGTCATTGAAAGTCAAGAGAAAGTTGAAACTCAATTCAAGGAATCAAAGGATTCCAGTAAAACATTTCAAGAGCTGGAAGATGAAATAGTCATTTTCAGAAAGAAACAAACTGATCTGACAAAACTGAAAACCTCACATGAATGTAATAGTACAATTGGAGGTATTAACAGCAGAACAGACCAAGTGGAGGAAAGAATCTCAGAGCTCAAAGACCAGTTCTTTGAATCAACTCAGACAAAAATAAAGATAAAACATTTTTTAAATGAACAAACCCTCTAAGAAATATAGGATTATACAGAGTCCAAAATGATGACTCATTGGCATCCCTTAAAGAGAGAGAGAGAGCAAGGAACTTGGAAAATGTATTTGAGGATATTGCCCATGGAAAATGTCCCAACCTCATTAGAGAGGTTAACAATTCAAATTCAGAGAATTTAGA
Organism: Homo sapiens; assembly: GCF_000001405.40. Taxonomy (NCBI): domain Eukaryota; kingdom Metazoa; phylum Chordata; class Mammalia; order Primates; family Hominidae; genus Homo; species Homo sapiens. Next base: position 30,391,030 of record NC_000009.12, read on the forward strand.
GAACCCCTGCAAGATAGTATGCAAGGTGACAATCCCCGAGACACATAATCATCCAATTTGCCAAAGTCAAGATGAATGAAAAAATATTAACACAGCTAGAGAGAAGGGGAAGTAACCTACAAAGGAAACCATATCAGGTTAACAGCAGACCTGTCAGCAGAAACTATATAAGCCAGAAGAGATTGGGGACCTATATTCAACATCCTTAAATAAAAAAAAAAGTATTCAAGAATTTTGTATCCTGCCAGACTAAGCTTCATATGTGAAGGAGAAATCAAATCCTTTTCAGAGAAGCAAAGGCTAGGAGTCTATGTAACCACCATGGCTGCCTTACAAGAGGTCCTTATGGGAGTGCTACACATGGAAACAAAAGACAATTACCAGCAACCACAAAAACCCACTTAAGTACATCGATAATTTACACTATAAAACGACTACACAAAAAAGTCTACATAACAACCAGCTAACAACGTGACGGTAGGATCAAATCCACACCTATCGATATTAACATCAAACATAAAAAGGCGAAATGCCCCACTTAAAAGGCACAGAGGAGCAAGTTAGATAAAGACGCAAGACACAACTATATGATATCTTTAAGAGACACATCTCACATGCAATGACACCCATAGCTTCAAAGTAAGGGGATGGAGAAAGATCTACCAAGAAAACAGAAAACATAAAAGATCTGGGGTTACTAGTATTACTTAAAACAAAACAGACTTTAATTTTAAAAAGGGACAAATATTGGCATTACATAATAATTAAAGTGTTCACTTCAACAATAAGACTTAACTATCCTATGTATATATACTGTCAACATTGGAGCACCTTGATTAATAAAATGAGTTCTTAGAGACCTGTGAAGGGAATTAGATAAACACACAGTAAAAGTGGGAGACTTCAACACCCCAAAAGAGTATTTGACAAATTATCAAGGCAGAAAACTAGCAAATACATTTGAGGCTTTAACCCAACACTTCACCAAATGGACCTAGCAGACTTCTACAGAACACTCCACCCAAAACCAACAGATTATACATTCTTCCTGTCTGCACATTGGACATTCTCTAAAATCAATCACATGCTTGGCCATAAAGAAATTCTCAACAAATAAAAATACCAAAATCATACCAACTGTAGTCTCATACCACAGTGCAATACAAATCAAAATCAATACCAAGAAGATCTCTCAAGACCATACAATTGCATGGAAATTAAACAATCTGTTCCTGAATGACTTCTGAGTAAACAATGAACTTAAGGTAGAAATCAAAACAATTATTTTAAACTAATGAAAACCAAGATACAACACACCAGAATCTCTGGGACACAGCTAAAGCAGTATGAAGAGGAAAGTTAGCAGCAATAAACACCCACACCAGAAAGGTAGAAAGGTCTTAAATTAAAAACTCGGCTTCACACCTAGAGGAAGTAGAAAAAAAGAAAAGCCTAGAAAACCTCATACTCTCTGCTCAAAGGAGCCTAGCTCTGATAAACAAGTTCAGGAAAGTTTCTGTATACAAAATCAATGTACAAAAATCAGCAACATTTTTACACACCAATAATGTCCAAGCTGAGGGCAAAATCAAGAATGAAATACCATTTACAATAGCCACAAAAAAAATAAAATATCTAGGAATTAAGCTAAACAGGGAAGTAAGATTACTACAATGAGAACTACAAAACACTGCTGAAAGAAATCAGAGACAACACAAACAAATGGAAAAATATTTCATGCTCATAAAGAGGAAGAATCCATATCTTTAAAATGGTCATATTGCCCAAAGCAATGTACAGATTCAATACTATTTCTATAAAATTACCAATTACATTTTTCACAGAATTAGAAAAAACTGCTCTAAAATTCATACATAACCAAAAAAAAAAAAGAGCCTGAATAGCCAAAGAAATTCTAAGAAATAAGAACAAAGACAGACCACCTGACTTCAATTGCCTCCCAACATCAAACAACACTACAAGGCTACAATAATAAAAAAACAGTATGGTACTGGTACAAAATCAGACACATAGACCAACAGAACAAATTAGAGAAGCAAGAAATAAAGCCACACATATACAACACTCTGATCTTTGACAAAGCAGACAAAAACAAGCAGTAAGGAAACGACTCCCTATTCAATAAGTGATACTGGGATAACTAGATAATCATCTTCAGAAGATTGAAGCAGGACCTCTCCATTTCACGATATACAAAAATCAATTCAAGATGGATGAAATACAATGTAAAACAGAAAATTAAAAATCCCTGGAGGATAACCTAGGAAATACAATTCTGGACTTAGGAATGGGCAAAGATTCCATGACCAAGATGCCAAAAGCAATTGCAACAAAAACAAAATGGTTGACAAGTGGAGCCTAATTAAACTAATGAACTTCTGCACAGCAAAAGAAACTATCAGCACAATATATAGACAACCTACAGAATGTGAGAAAATAAGTGCAAACTATGCATCTGACAAAGGATTAATATCCAGAATCTATAAGGAACTTAAACCAATAAGCCAAAACCAAACAACTCCATTAAAAACTGGGCAAAGGACATGAACAAACACTTCTCAAAAGAAGACCATATATGCAACCAACAAGCATATAGACAAATGCTCAACATCACTAATCATCTAATAATTATTAGAGAGATGCAAGTCAAAACCACAATGAGCTACCATCTCAGAAGAGTCAGAATCACTATTATTAAAAAGTACAAAAATGACAGATGCTGTTGCAGCTGCTGAGAAAGGGAACACTTACACACTGTTGGTGGGAATGTAAATTAGTTCAGCCACTGAGGAAAGCAGTTTAGAGATTTCTCAAATAACTTAAAATAGAACTACCATTCAACCCAGGAATCCCATTACTAGGTATGTACCCAAAAGAAAATAAATCATTCTACCATAAAGACATATGCATATCTATGTTTGTCTCAGTACTATCTACAATAGCAAAGACGTTGTGATGGTTAATACTGAGTTTCAACTTGATTGGATTGAAGGATGCAAAGTGTTGATCCTGGGTAGGTCTGTGAGGGTGTTGCCAAAGGAGATTAACATTTGCGTCAGTGGGCTGGGCAAGGCAGACTCATCCTTAATTTGGTTGGGCACCATCTAATCAGCTGCCATTGTGGCCAGGATATAAAACAGGCAGAAAAACATAAAAAGGCTACACTGGCTTAGCTTCCCAGCCCACATATTTATCTTATGCTCTATGCTTCCTGTCCTCAAACATTAGATTCCAAGTTCTTCAGCTTTGGGACTTGGACTGGCTTCCTTACTCCTCAGCTTTCAGATGGCCTATTGTAAGACTTTGTGTTTATGTGCGTTAATAAACTCCATATATATATTTATATATACACACACATATGAATATATATATATATATATACATATATATATATATATCCTGTTAGTTCTGTCCGTCTAGATAACCCTGACTAATGTAGACAGGGAATAAATCTAAATGTCCATTAACAGTGGACTAGATAGAGAAAATATGGTATACGTACACCATAAAATACCACACACCATCAAAAAGAGCGAAATCACGCCTTTGCAGTACCATGGACACAGCTGGAGATCATTATCCTAGGCGAATTAATAAAGAACAGAAAACCAAATACTGCATATTCTCACTTGTAAGTGGGACCTAAAAACTGAGTATTCATATGCACAAAGAATGAAACAATAGACATTGGGCCTAGTTGAGGATGGAGCATGGGATGAAGGTGAGACTCTACAAAACATCAGGTATAATGTTCACTACCTAGGTGATGAAGTAATTTGTACACCAAACCCCAGTGACATCCAATTTAACCATGTAACAAATCTGCACATGAACCCTCTGAACCTATAATAAAATTTGAAAGGAAAAATTAAAAATGAATTAAAAAAATAAAATGGTAAATAGTAAATATTCTTGATTTATACTTTCACCATTTAAAAAATATCCTTTTATCTTACAGTAATGATTTTTGTTTCAGTGTCCATTTTGTCTGATATTAAATTAACATAGCTACTCAGGCTTTTTTGAGAGGTTATGGTTTGCACTTTATATCTTTTTCTATACTTTATTTTCAGTCTGTTTGTGTCTTTGAACCTAAATTGTGTTTTTTTACTGGCAGAATATAGTCATATAGTTGAATCATTATTTAAATTCAGTCAGTCAATCTCTGCCTTTTTCAGAGTGTTTACTCCATTTGCATTTGATATAAAGTGAAGTTCACTTCTGCCATTATACTATTATTCTTTTCTTCCTGTCTTCTGTATTTGTTGTTCTTACAGTAATACCACCTTCTTTTTCTTTTTCTTTCTTTTTTTTTTTTTTTTGGACAGGGTCTTACTCTGTCTCCCAGATTGAAACACGATATCGGCTCACTGCAACTTCCACTGCTCAGGTTCAAGTGATTCTCCAGCCTCAGCCTCCTGAGTAGCTGGGATTACAGGTGTGTGCCACTGCCACCTGGCTAACTTTTGCATTTTTAGCAGAGATGGGGTTCCACCATGCTGGCCAGACTGGTCTTAAACTCCTGACTTCAAATGATCCACCACCCTCAGCCTCCCAAAGTGCTGGGATTACAGTCATGGGCCACCGTGCCCGGCCACCACCTTCTCTTTTGGTATAGATATTTTACAGTGTGTCATTTCAATTTCTTGGCAATTTTTAAAAATATTTTTGTGTTTCCATAGTATATCATAGTATTTTTATTAGAATTAATATTTTATTTCGTAGAAATTTAGTTTAGATATATTGCAATTAAATTTCAATAATATAAATATGCTTTGCTCCTATATAGCTCATTTCCCCCTCTTCTTTGTGCTGTTATTGTCATAAAATACATCTTAATACTTCACATGTTCAGCAACACATTTTTACAATCAAGCCATTGCTTTATGCACAGGTCTTTCAACATAGGTGGGACAGAAAAGAGTTACAAACAAACAAAAAACAGTATTATATTATACTTTATGTATGCAGTTATATTTAACTTGTGCTTTACATTTCTTCATGTAATTTTGAGTTTGTTTGGTGTCCTTTCATTTCAGCCTGGAGGACTTCCATTACTACGTCTTGTAAGGCTTTTCTGGTAGCAACAGATCATCTCTGTTTTTGTTTTTCTGGGATTGTCTTAATGTATCCTTTAATTTTGAAAGTTTGTTTTGGTGCATATCAAATTCTTGGTCTACAGCTGTTTCCTCAGCACTTTGAGTATGTCATGTGACTGCCTTCTCTTCTCCATGGTTTTCAATTAGAAATTGGCTGTTCATCTTATTTTTAACCCATCATATATTTAAAAAGATTATTTGACCTTGCTGCTTTTCAGATTCTCTCTCTGCTGCATCTCAAAAAGAAAAAAAGATTCTCTCTCTGGAAGATTTAAATTATATCAAGGTTTTTTTTTTAAATCACAATAACAAGAAACTAGAAATCAACAATGGAAGTTATCCTGAAAATTTTAAAAATATGTTGAAATTAAACAACATGCTCCTAAACAACCAGTAGGTTATGGAATAAATTAAAAGGAAAATCAAAGAATACCTTGAGACAAATGAAAATGGTAATACAGCATACCAAAACATATGAGATGCAGCAAAAGCAGCTCTAAGAGTGAAACTTGTAGCAAAAAAATGCCTGTATCAGTGAAAAAGAAGGATCTTAAGTAAACAATCTAACATTATATATCTGAGAAATGAAGGAAAAACAAACTAAGACCAAAGTTAGAAGGAAGTAAATAACAAAGACCAAAAATGAATAATTTAGAAACTAGGAAAATAATTTTAAAAATCAACAAAACTAAGAGGTTTTTGGAAAGATAAAATTGAAACACTCTTCAAAAGAACAATTGAGAAAAAATAGAAGATACAAATAGATAAAATCAGAAATAAAATAAGAAAAATTACAACTGATATGATAGAAACATAAAAAAATTCTAATAATACTAGGAATAATTACATACCAACAACCTGGATAACCTAGAAGATATATATAAATTTCTGATTAGATACAGCTTACTGAGACTAAATCATGAAAAAAATTAAAAATCTGAATAGACCAATAATGGCTAAGGAGATTGAGCCAGTAATAAGAGGTCCCCCATCAATGAACAGCCTGAGACATAATGGCTTCTCTGCTAAATTTTACCAAACATTTAAGAAAAGCTAATATAATCTTTCTCAAACTCTTCCTAAAATTTCAAGTAGATGGAATACTTCCAAACTCATTTTTAAGGCATGTATTACCCACATACCAAAGACAGACAGGAGCAGTACAAGAAATGAAAATTACAGGCCAATATCACTAATGAACATAGATGAAAACATCCTCAACAAAATATGAGCAAACCTAATTCAACAACCCATTGAAAGAATTATGCACTATGAGCAAGTGGGATTTATCTCTGAGGTGCAAGAATGGTTCAACATATGCAAATCCGTAATTGTGGCACACCACAATAACAGAATAAATGACCAAAAATACATAATCATCTTAATAAGTGCAAAAAAAAAAGCATTTGACAAAATTCCGCAACTGTTCTTGGTAAAATCTCTCAACAGATTAGTTACAGAGGGAATGCACCTCAACACAATAAAGGCCACATATGATAAGCTGACAGCTAACATTATAAATCAATGGTTAAAAGTTGAAATCTTTTCCTTTATTATCAAAAACAAAATGAGGATGCCCATTCTCACTGTTTCTTTTCAACATAGTACTGGAAGTACTAGACAGAGCAATTAGGGAAGATAAAGAAATAAAATGCATCCTAATAGGAAAGGACAAGGTGAAACTGTATGCTGACAAGGTGATCTTATAAATAGAAAACCTTAAGGATCCCACCAAAAAATTAAAACTAATAAATAAATACAGTAAATTTGCAGGATACAAAATCAACATGCAGCAATCAGTAGCACTTGTATGCACTAACAATGAACTCTGAAAGAGAAATTGAGGACACAATCCCATTTACAGTAGCAGCAGCAACAAAAATACTTAGGCATAAATTTAACCAAGGAGGTGAAATATCTGTATACTGAAAAATATAAAACACTGATGAAATAAATTGATGACAACACAAATAAATAGAAAGATAACTTATGTTTATGGACTGGAATAATTAATTTTGACAGTGTCCATACTATTTGAAGAAATCTATAGATGCAATGAATCCCTACACAATCCCAATGGTAATTTTTACAGAAATAGAAAAAAATTCTAAATTACATATGGAACCACAAAAGATCCTGAATAGTCAAAGCAATGTTAAGCAAAAAGAAAAAAAAACATGATTAGAAAACATACTTTAAAGCAATTGTGATCAAAAGACAATAGTACTGGCATAGAAATAGACCCATGGACTGATGGAATAGAGTGGAAAGCCCATAAATAAACTCACACCTTTATGGTTATTTGATTGGCAGCAAAAATCCCAAAAATACACAATGGGAAAAGGATAGTCTCATCAATAGATACTGTTGGGAAAAGTGGATATCCATAAGCAGAAGAATGAAACTGTATTCTCCTCCCACATCATATACAAAAATAAACACAAAATGGTTTAGGGATTTAAAGTAAAACCCAGAAATATATAAAAGTACTAGAAGAAAACATCAAAAAATATTTCATGTCATTGTTTTGGTTAGTAACTTTTTGGATATGACCTTGAAAGCCCAGGTAACAACAGTAAAAATACATAAAATGATTGCATCAAACTAAAAACAACTTTTTCATAACAAAGGAACCAACAGAGTGAATACATAACCCATAGAGTGGAAGAAAATATTTTAAAACCATACATTTGATAAGGGATTAATATCCTAAATACATAAGGAACTCAAACAACTCAATAATAAGAAAACAAATAACCAACTAAAAACTGAGCAAAGAGCCTGAACAGATGTTTCTTAAGATATACAAATGGCCAATAGAGTCATAAAAATTTGTTGAATATCTCTAATTTTTAGGTAAATTAAAATTAAATCTACAATGAGATATTACTTTACACCTATTAGAATGACTATGATAAAAAAGATGAACTAAAAAATGTTGGTAATGATGTGGAGAAAACAGAATCTTTGAACACTGTTAGTGGAAATGTAAGTTAGTACAGCCATGAAAAATGGTATAAAGTTGTCTCAACATCTTGTAGAAATTATAGACAGCTAGAGGAACAAGAGAACTACCATATGATCTAGCAATCCTACTTCTGGGTATATATCTAATGGAACTGAAATCAATATATTGAAGACATGTCTGCATTCATATTCACTGAAGTGTTATTCACAATAGCCAAGATGTAGAATAAACCTAAGGGTCTATGCAGATGAACAGATAAAGAAAATATTAGATATAAGCACAAGGGAAAGCCATTCAGCCTTAAAAAAAAAAAAAAAAGACAATGCTGTCCTTGGCAATAGCACAAATAAACCTGGAAGACATTTTGCTGAGTGATGTAAGCCAGGCACAAAATGTCAAATATTGCATGATTTCCTTTTTATGGTGAATCTAAAAAAGTCACACTCATCAATGAAGGAAGGAGAATGTTGGTTATTAGAGGCCAAGGGTTGGCAGAGGAAATGTTTGTCAAAGGACATAATGTTTTAATTAAACAGATGAAAGAAGTTTTTGAAATCTACCACACAGCAAGGTGACCACAGTTAATAATAATGTATCTAATATTTCAAAATTGCTGACAGCAAATTTCAAATGTCTCAAAAAAAAAAGGATGGGTGAGGTGATAGATATGGCTTTTTTTTATTTAATCATTTCAAATTGAGTACATATATCAAAACATCACATTGTACTTATGGGTACATATTGTTACACTGTACCTATAGGTACAATGTTATGTTTTGATATATGTATACAATTTGAACGTATACATAAAATTTTGGAATGCATATATGAAATCTTGTCTAAAAAATTATGAGAATTATATCTATATAAATATACATAATACATTATATATTATTTATATATTAATATATAGGTACAATTTTTATTATATATTATATAAAATACATTTTTATATATTTTATATTATATGTATTATATTTATATATTATAGAATATAATTTCTCATATTCTTTAGACAAGATTTTCTTTAATTCTTTGAACATACTTTAAACTGCCAACTTCGTGTTATTTGCTATAAGTCCAAAATTTGTGCTTCCTGTAGAGTAGTTTCTATAGACCTTACTTTTTCCTGTATATAAGACATTTTTAAAAATTTTTTTGCCATGTATCATGTTTTTGTTGAAAATTTTAAACATGGAATAATTATATGTATTTATATATAATGAAAATGTTTGAATAAAAATGACATAAATTAGAAAGGGTTCTTTCCAACTTTGGGTTTTGATAGTTTATAATATGTCTACGTCTGGATTTTTGAGTTTATTCCTTTTGGGTTTTACTGAGTTTCTGGACATGTAGATCAACAATTTTTATCAAAATTTGGGAAGTTTTCAGACATTAATTTTTCAAATATTCTTTCTACCCCTTTTCCTCCCCTCTTCTCTCTGCTCCTTCTGCTCCTTCTCTTTCTCCTTCTGTGACTCTCATTATGTATATATATGTATCATGGTATCTCACAGGTCTCTGAGACTTTTTTTCATTCTTTTCTCTCTCAGTACCTCAGACTGGTTATATAAATTGAGCTATCTTCAAGGTCAAGCATTCATTCTTCTGAAAGCTCAAATCTTCTGTTGAGTGCCCCCTGTGAATTTATTTTAATTATTATTGTGTGTTTTGACCCTATAGACTGTATTATAAACTTTTAAATAATTTATATATCTTTCTTGATATTTTCCTTTATTTGATGATGTATTATTCTCATATTTCCAATAGTTCTTTAGACAAGATTTTTTTTAGTTCTCTGAACATTCTTTAGATAGCAAACTTTATGTTTTCTCTATAATTCCAATATTTTTGTTTTCTGTAGTGCAGTTTCTATTGATCTTACTTTTTCCTGTATATGAGCCATATTTCTTATTTATTTGCATGTCTCATACATTCTTCGTTAAAAATTTAAAATATTGAATAATATATAATGGCAAATTTTGTAATCAGATTCTCTTCTATCCCCAGTAATTTTTTTTGTTCTTGCTGGTTTTTTTTTCATTTATTTCTTGAATTAATTTTGTCAAGTCTGTATTCTTTGTTGGATGTAGCTACTGCAATTTCATCTCAGTTAGCTTTGTCATCAGCTAATGATTGAATAGATAGTACCTTAAATGCCTGGTATAAATATGTCTTTTAGCATTTGCCAAGGGATTCTATGCATTTGGGGACACACTGTCAATGTTTAGGCAAGCAATTTACAGCTCTTGTTACATTTTACTTCTTACTTACATTAAGCCACATGACTGCACATGCAGACAGACTTGCACATGCGGCCCTTTAGATTTCCAGGAATATGTTGAAGCTTTTCAACCCCCCTATGGACAGCTCCTTCCCCAGTTTTTTATTTTAAATATCTATCAGCCTGAAATTTACCCCAACTTTTATCTCCATCTCAGGCAGTTGCAGTTTATCCAATTGCCACTGCTTGTTTTCAGCAAACACACCTTAGGTAAAGACTACTTGTTCACACTCGATTATGACTGAGTCAGGTCAAATAATCACAAGGCTGGTTTGTGGAGTTATCCAAGGAAGTGACAGACAGCTCAAATAATGACCACTCTCTGAGAATGAGGCTTTAAAGGAGCTCCAACCATTTTCTACTTCCTACATAAGCTTCCTGGATGCTATCATTATCGTGGGCTGTTGGTTTTCAAAGTTATCCCAGAACGGAGGACAGAGGGGATGGCATAAAAAAGTTGCAATGCCACAGACCTCACTATTTTTACAAGTTAGCCATTTTCTTGAATAAACACTCTCAAGGTTATTGCAAATTTTAATTAACTTCATGAATTTTGAAAACTTCATTATGAGAGTTTTGCCAGTTTTACTTGCTTTTATTGAGAAAAGGATTTTTGGAGGATCTTAATCATTCTCTCTAACATTATTGTATTATATCTTTAAACATACGTATCATTTTCAGTTATCATTCCTTTCCTCTTCCAGAGCTTCAGGTTCACATTATTTTATATCCAATATTCCTCAATATCTATGATCTACCCCATAATTATTATTTGGGTCTTTCCTCTCCACTTAAAATCTTATGATTTCCTCTGTCTTTTCCATAATGCACTAGGCCGTACTTATAGTCATATGTGCTTTATTGCCTCTAATCTACCATTCAACACTTAACTGCATTTTTATTTTCATATCAAGTTTATATTTTAACCATTGCATTTTTTAATCTCTGTTTTTTTCCCCTCACGATCTCATTTTGAGTTTCTGTACTCTTCTTTGAAATATTTTTAAAGCCTAAAATTTATTTGAAATTATGGAGATATTTTCTCTGAACACTGCTCCTATTTCACTGAAATTCATCTTGAGAAATTTATTTTTCACCTGTCATTTGCAGTGCTTGTTCTTACCTTTTTCCCTCCAACATTAATGCATACACTTTCTGAAGTTCTTTTGTCATTATTACTGACTTTTTAAATGGGAGCAATTATCCTGAAATCTACTATGACGAAGAGTGGGAGGATAAATCACAGTTTCAATTCATATTTGTTGTATCCAGCAACCTCTCACTAAATATGATTTCCTTTGTCCTACAAAGACATCTTCATTTAATTTTTAGTGCCCCAGTATTCAGCATGGCTGGAAAAGCTCTTGTACCCAGAGGCATTTGATGTCATTATCTGGCCCTTGGTGCCTCCTCGCCTCTTTTTTCAGTTTAAGAAAAGACTGGAAGTCTGAATCGGCTATCAACATGGTTTACCATCTCTCCTTCCTAGGCATGTACTCATGTAAAACTAGATCTTTGCATTAGACTTTGTCTAGGACCCTCATTTTACTGTTCTAACCAATAATCTTTGGGAAGATATTTAACTATACAGTGATTGGATTTACAGCTTAAGATCTGCAAAAGTATGTGTCCTGTTTCAGTATCTCTTTCACTTTCATCTACTTTTTCATTATATGACATATACAAATAACACATTATAATTTTGGATGACAGCCCTTTTTCCTGTGTATTAAAAAAAATTTTCCCCTATTTCTTCCTCCCTCCCTTCCTCCCTCTCTTCCTTCCTTTCTTTTCTTCTTTCCTTCCTTCTTTCCTCCTTTCCTCTCTCTCCCTCCCTTCCTTCCTTTCTTATTTATTTCCATATTTGTTGATTGTGAAGAAAAGGTTTTTGAAAATAAATTTGGAGGGAAATTTTATTCCTTTGAGTAGTTTGCAAAGCAGGGATAGACAGCCTTCTGTTCTAATCAAAGTTGTGTTCCAGGCAACAAAAAGATGATTCAGGTTTTATGGCAAAGGTTCCTGCCCAAGTTCCTAATCAGGCCCATTAATGCCAATGAAGGATTGAAACTTACTTAGTTCTGATTGGTTGGTACACCTGAGCTCTAATGAGTTGATACCATTGAGTCCTAATTGGCCAGGGCAGATGAGCTCTGAGTCTCTGTCAGATGTTTCTTTCAAATGGCCAATATTGGGAAAGGGGGAGGGTGTCTGGTCAAAGCTTATCTTGGCATTGACAACAGAAACTGGTTTGTTTGCTCAATTGTAGACAGGGAAGTCCTATAACACTTATACAACATCTTTCTGAGAACACAATAGTACGTGACCACTCCTTCACCAAAGGTTATATTTTATTCATACTTCAGAGTTAAATTAAAATATTACTTCACAATGAAAAAGTCTGGGATTCTTTAGCCTAAATTATATAAGTCTATTAAATTCACTTAGGAGCCTAGAATTTCCCTTGTAGGTTTTTCATTAGTATATATAAGTAATTGATGTCTTATTATTTTGTTGTGTCTGTTTTTATTAAATACGCTTTCTCTGAGGGCGGGGGTCATACTGTCTTAAATTGCTGCAATCAACACATAATAGAAGGAACATAGCATTCAAATTTTTGTATTGAACCAATTAATTAATACATAAGCTTTATGAAAATATGTCAATGGTAAATATAAGTAAATTTCTGAAAACAGTCTACTAATGAATAGAACAAATACATTTTACCAATATTTTGCTGTAAACATTAAGCAGTTATTATTATTGACAACGTTGACTGACACTATACTATAGCATCATAACTGCTAAATTAGTACTGAATATGCTATTAACATTAGCGATAAAGTATCATCATTATTTAAACACAGTTTGTCTTAACACTCATTTGTATGCACAATGCCTTTTTCTAAATGCATAAGTGCATCATAAATATATAAATCTCCATAATTATACATATCCAGTCTCCTTTCTGAATCCACTAAATGCAGAGATGAGAGGGGGAATTTGTAATTTCATAGCTGATATTAATGTGCAGCTCTGTTTAAAAGTCACTCCTCTATTTAAAAAAAAGTTCCAGATGCTTTTTGAGAACTATAGTTAAAATTTGTGGGCGTAGGATTCTTGGTCATATTTCTATTCTCATTCTACCATTTTTAATATTTAATTTACATCTGTTGGCCTCACTGAAAACTTAAGACTTCCAAATTAATTAAAAATTTATAGAAAAATTGGAGTTTCTCACTTTGGCCTATTGAAACAAACTTCATTAATATTATATAGTTCTAGTGAGCTCAACAGTAATGAGCTATGTAAATACATGTTATAAACGAGAACTAAAATGTTAACTAAGGTACAACCACTTGGTGAACTTCTATAAATGCTGGCTGATTTTCACGCCCTTCAAATAGCCTTCAAATAGAAAAATAGATTTTAACAACCACATACTTTCCCTAACTTAAAATTCAGTGAATTTCAAGTGTTATTTTAAATTTGCAATAATAAGTATTTAAAGAGAAAATTTCATGCATGAAATAAAAGTACAATCATATCCATCCTACCTAGCTATCTATCACTTATTGATCACATATTCATCTCTCTACCTATTATGCATTAACTTAGGTGATTTTCATGAGAACCATATTTAATAATGTTTCTATGGGAAAATGCATTCCATTATCATTTGAATTCAGGATGACATAACACTTCAAATAATGCTTCTCTTGCTTTTCTGGTGACCATGCCTGAGATTCTGAGCCTTCATAGACTCCTATATCTCAAGAAGAGCTGATTGATAGAAATACAGATTCTTCTGCATACCAACATTTTTGTTTCTTCTCTAAATATACATAAATCAATATATTCAATTGATACATGCCTTGAATTATAAAACTGTTCTTTGCAATTCAGTTTTTCTTCTCCCAAATCATTTTCTAAGTACTTATACTGAAATATATATATGCAAATGGAACAGTTTTACATTAATAATATAAAAGAATATTTATTATACTCATATAAAATGTTTAGAAAATGTGGCTTGTGAATATTTTCATATTAATGTCAACACAGGTAGCTCTACATCATTTTATTTAACTACTCTTTAGTATCCCATATGATACAACTGCCTAAAAATTATATATTGATAAATGATTAATATATTTTCTTAGTTTTTGCTCTTAAAAACATAATTATATTTTTTCTTCATTTACACGAGAGATTATTTAGCTGCTATTGAAGAGTTAAATTTGTCTTGAAAATTTATGCCTATAAAAATTCAGTCTAAACTGCCAAATTGCCTTTCAAAGGCCTATTTCCATTTTTGCTTTCTAAAACAATGTATGATCACATCATTTTTTCCAGAAATAATACTGATAAATTTCAATTATTTGTGAATCTATATAAAATATATTATATAATTAGTTTAATATATATTTATTTGCTCATCACAGAAATTCAACATTTTCATTTCTTAAGTATCTGAATTTACTTGGCTGTCAATCTGAACATTGTCCATTAGCTTATATGTTTATATGTTATTATCAATATGTTAATATGAATAATTTTACAAGCAAATTTTGTTATTAAACTTTATACTTTAAACCCATAAAATTTTCTACTGTCAGTATACCAATAATGTATATCTTCTTTTTTTTAAGAAATAATAGCCTGCTGTAAGACTTTAAACATAGTTTTCCATAATGTGATACTTTCATCCATTTGTTGCTTAAATTTTTTTTGTTATTTGATTTGAAATTTATGTCTGTAATGGAATGAGGCAGAAATCTGAATTGTTCCCCCAGCAACCTCAATAAAATGGTCAATCGCTACAATGTAATGACTCCTTCTCATTATACATCTTTTCCTCATTGATTTTATTGGCTACCTTGATCATATGCTAAATTTGAACACATACATGTATCCAATTCAGTATGTATGAGCTAGTTCATTAATCTAACGAACAATTTTTATTCCATTACTATATAATTTTCTCATTTTATCTAAATGATATATTTTTATTGTGGATCATTATTATCTCCTTCTTCCAAACTGTCCTTGTATTTCTTAACTGTTTCTTTTGATCCCTAAATTGATTTTAAATTAGATTATCAATTTCTGTCAGAGAATAAACTCTTTTATGATTCTAACTAGGTGTGAAATAAAATAAAAATTAACAATTATTGATATCACTTTATTGATTTATCATTTAAAGCACTTGTTTATTGAGCAATAGTTATTTTTTCTATATTAGTGACATTTGTTCTTTCCCATATAATATTTACAACACATCTTTTTTGTATTGACTTGTTCCTATGAGAGATTGATTATTAAATAATAAGCTAGCCTAGAATTCATGGAATAATTCCCACTTATTCTATTTATTGTGACTAAATTCAACTTGCTAATGTTTTATTCATGAGTTTTTGCATCCATGCTTACGGGTATATTTTTCTTTAATTTTCTTTTCTGTGTAATGGCCTCAGGCTTACTACCAGAGTTATACTAGCCTGAAAACTGTGAAAGAGTTTAAGTTTGGTATTACTTTTTCTTTAAATGTTTGTAGTTTTCTTGTGGGAATTTTTTAATCAATATTTTTTAGAGACAGGGTTTCTCTTTGTTGTCCAGGCTGTAGCATGGTGGCCTCCTAAGTATCTATAGGTGTGTGCCACCATGCCTTGCTAATTTCTTTTTTTCTAGAGATGGGGTCTCCCTATGTTGCCAAGGCTGGTTTGAACTGTCTGGCGTAAAGCAGTCCTCCCATTTTGACTTCCAAAAATGCTGGGATTGCACGTGTGAGCCACCTAATTTGACCAGGAGAGTATTTAGTTAAAAAGTCAACAACTATAAGATTACTCATATTTTAAAATTTCTTCTAACACTAGTTTTGGTAAGATGTTTCTTTAAAAAATAATATCTATTTTTTCGAGTTTTAATATGTATTCACAAATTTTTTTATAATATCCTATTATCTTTTATAATGTGAGAAAGGATTGAAATTATATTATCTTTTTCATTATTGGTATTAGGATTTGTATTTTCACATTTTCAAATCCATCAGGCTGAAGCTTTGTCAATTTTATTACTTTTTTAAAAAACAACTTGGGCTTTCATTTTTCTGTTTTCCAATTTATTTTATTTTGGCATATGTATTTATATTTTCTGTTATTTTTTTTTTACTGTTTTTAATCTTATTGAAATGGGACTTTAAATAATTGGTTTGTTTTCTTTTCTAGTATATGTAATTAAAATTATAAATTTCCTGCAAGGCAAAAATTTAGCTGCTTCCCACAAATTTTGTATTCATTTATTTTCTAAGATTTTAAAATTTATTTTGTATATTTTAAAAAATTTTAATGTGTTGACTGTCTAAAGTTTATTTTTAATATTAAAATATGATATTTCCAATTAAATTTCTACTATTGGCTTACTTTTTTTTCTTTCATTTGGTATCACCTCAATCAAATATTAAGTACTGAGATAATCTGAGGTTAGACTGAAACTTCTGAAAGTGCTTGCCTACTACTGTAGCTGTTACTTTCTTGTCTTCAATTTTATGAATATACCATAATTTATTTGATCATTCTACTGATGATGGGTATATGTGTAGTTTCCAGGTTCATGCTATTTTGTTTTTGTTTGTTTTAACTGAAAGATAAAATTTTGCTTAGAGTATAAAACAGGATGTTTTAAAGTATATGTATATTGTAAAATGGTTAAATTTAGTAATTAAAAATGCATTACCCCACATGGTTATTATTTGTGTGCTGAGAACAGTTAACATCTACTCTCAAAAGATAAAAAGTAGAAATACTATATAATCCAGCAATCCCACTACTGGGTATACAGACAAAATAAAATCAGTATCTGGCCTGGCACCCCTGGGGGCTCATGCCTGTAATCTCAGCACTTTGGGAGGCCAAAGTGGGTGGATAACTTGAGGTCAGGAGTTCGAGACCAGCCTGGCCAACGTGGTGAAACCTCTCCACTAAAAATACAAAAGTTAGCTGGGTGTTGTGGCACACGCTTGTAGTCCCAGCTACTTGGGAGGCTGAGGCAGGAGAGTCGCTTGAACCGGGAGGCGGAAATTGCAGTTGCAGTGAGCCGAGATCACGCCACAGCTGCACTCCAGTCTGGGCAACAGAGCGAGACTCTGTTTCAAAAAAGAGGTATCTGAATGCCCATGTTCATTCCAACACTATTCACAGCAGCCAAAATATGAAATTAATCTAAGTGTCCATCAACAAAAGAATGAATTAAAAATGCAGTATACATACACAATAAAATCTTATTACACCATAGGGGGAAAAAAAAGAAGAATAAATTGTGTCGTTTGAGACAATGTGAATGAACTTGGTGGGCATTAGGTTAAGTAAAATTAGCCAGGCACAGAAACACAAATATTGGATGATCTCATTTACATGTGGCATCCAGAGAAGTTGATCTCATAGAAGTACAAAGTAAAACAGTGGGTACCAGAGGCTAGAGTGATTGGAGGAAAAGGTTTGGAAAAAATGTTGATCAAAGGATACATCATTATTAGTTAAATGGGAGGAATAAGTTCAAGAGCTTTATTGTATAACATGGTCCCTATAGTTAATGACGATGTATTATATTTTTGAAAAACATCGAGTCAATTTTGGCTGTGTATGAGCTTCCCTGTGCCCTCCACCCAAGACTATCTGTTCGCATGTATTATTAGGATCTCTGTGCGCGTGCACGTGTGTGTGTGTGTCTGTGTGTATGTGTTTGTGTATTAGGACCTTTGTGTGTGTCCTTTCTTATGGTACTTCCTATGACTTTTTTTTTTGTATTTCACATTTTCTATTACTATAGCATAGTCATAAATATTTGGGGGATACATGTGATACACATATGCAATGTATATTGATCATATCAGGGTCATTGGGATATTACCTCAAACATTTATCATTTGTGATGGAAAATTTACAATTCTTCCATTATTGTTATTTTGAAATACATAATAAATTATTGGTAACTATGATTTCCTTACCATACTGTAGAATATTAGAACTTGTTCTTTCTAACTGTATTTACCAATTAAACAACTTCTCTTCATATCCCTCCCCCACCTCTTTTCCTTAACAGCTTCTGATACCACCAATGTACTCTCAACCTCCATAAGATTTACTTTTTTACCTCCTAGATATGAGTGAGAATATGCAATATTTAGGTTTCTGTGCCTGGCTTATTTTGCTTAACATAATGACCTCCAGTTCCACTCATGTTTCTGTAAATGACAGGATTTCAATATTTCTTATGGCTGAATAATATTCCACTGTGCATATATGCCACATTTTCTTTATCCATTTGTCTACTGATGGGCACTTAGATTGATTTCCTATTTTGGCTACTGTGCTGCAATAAACCTAAGAGTGCACATATCTCTTCAATATGATTTTTTTAAATTATTGAAAATGGAATTGCTTTCTTGATTGTTTTCAGATAGATCACTGTTAGCATATAGAAATGCTACTTTTTATATTGATTGGGTCTTTTGTAGTTTCATATAAATTTTAAAATTGCTCTTTATTTCCCTGAAGAATGTTATTGGTATTTTAATATAGATTGTATTGAATTTGTAGATAATTTTGGGTAGTAAATTTTAACAATATTAATTCTTCCACTTCAGGAGAATGGGATAGATTTTCATTTTTTGTGCCCTCTTAAATTTCCTTCATCAATGTTTTATAATTTTTTAAAATTGTATAAATTGCAAAAATCTTTCACTTCTTTGGTTGAACTGATTCTTAGGTTTTTTTGTAGCTATTGTAAACATGATATCTTTCTTGATTTTTTTTTCAGATAGATAACTGTTAGCATATAGAAATGCTACATTTTATATTCATTTTGTATCCTTCAACATTGCTAAATTTATCAGTTCTAAGAGTATTTTGGTGGAGTCTTTACGTTTTGCCAAATATAAGATCATATCCTATTCAAAGAAGGATAATTGAACCTCCTGCTTTCTAATTTGGATGCCTTTTATTTCTTTTTCTTCCCTAATTGCTCTGGCCAGGACTTCGTTGTTGAATAACAATGGTGAAAGTGAGACCATCCTTGTCTTGCAGATTTTAGTGGAAAGGCTTTCAATTTTTCCCCATTCAGTATATTAGCTTTGGGTTTGTCATACATAGCCTTCATTGTGTTGAGGTCTGTTCCTTCTATACTGTTTGTTGAGAGTTTTCATTATTAAGGGATATCAAATGTTATATAATGCTTTTCAGCATCAATCGAAATAATTATTTGGTTTTTATTCTTGATTTTGTTGATGTGATATGTCACGTTTATTCATTTGCATATGTTGTGCCATCTTTGGATCCCTGCAACGAATCCCACTTGATCAAAGTGAATGATCTTTTAATGTGTCATTGAATTCAATTTGCTAGTATTTTTTTTTTTTGGAGGACTTTTGCATCCATGTTTATCAGATATATTGGTTTATTGTTTTATGTTTTTTGTTTGTCAGGTTTTGGTATCAGGCCGATGGAGGCCTTGTAGAATGAGTTTGGAAGTATTCCTTCCTCTTCAAGTTTTTGACACAGTTTAAGTAGAACTGGTATTAATTATTCTTTACCTTTTCAGTAGAATTCGGTAGTAAATTCAGCAGGTGCTTGGCTTTTATTTGATGGGCGACTTCTTGTCATTGCTTCAACCTTGTTACTCATTATTGGTCAGTTCAGGTTTAATATTTCTTCCTGAATCAATCTTGGTACATTACATGTGTACAGGAATTTATTCATTTCTTCTAAATTTTCTAAATTGCTCATGTATAATTATCCATAAGTTTCTAATTGTCTTTGTGAAAGGAGTTATTTAGCTTGCCTTAGGTAGATAGCAAGAGAAGAGTCCCCTGAAAGCTGCCGGCCCACAGGTCAGTGCCTCACCTCCACATAACATAAAAAGCAGCCTGGGAAAAAAAAATCAGGCTGCGGGCACAAATGAGGCAACTATACAGGGTGTTGTGCCTGGAGACACGCCCACGCCTGCACAGACAGAAAAACCTCCCACCATTTTGGATAAAAACTAGCACGGACCTCTGGCTCACTCAGATAAGGGGACAAGGACTGGCATAGAAATACCTTTGTCCTTTATACAGTCAGTGGGCTATCAGGAAAGTTTCTTCTCCTTTTGTGGTGATGGGCACAGTGGGCTTCAGTGGGTTCCTATGGCCATTCTATTTCCTTTTTTTGGACTGTAAATCAGGCCTCTATGAATCATCACTTCAGCCCCTGATTGGTCCTGGGCCACAGTCCCAGGCCAAGCTTTCACTTCAGCTCCTGATAGGTCCCGGGCCAAGCTGAGCAGCCTCTGAGTCAAACCTTCTGATTGGTCCTGGGCCAAGGCCCCAGGCCAAGCTTTCACTTCAGCTCCTGATAGGTCCCGGGCCAAACTGAGCAGCCACTATCTGAATCCAGCTTTCTGATTGGTCCTGGGCCAACGCCCCAGGCCAAGCTGAGTCCCACATTCTCCAAGGCAGCCCGCTGACTAAGCACGTTTCTTCCCCTTCCCAGTCCACAAAAATCCTGTACCCCAGCCTCATAGGGGGCACCCCATTTGGGTCCCCTGCTCTGCTGGCAGAGAGCTTTCTTCTTTCACTTATTAAACTTTCACTCTAACCTCACCTTTGTGTCTGCACTCCTTAATCTTCTTGGAGGTAAAACAAAGAAATTTGGGTGTTATCTCAGACAAGGCCAAGAGTATTACATCTTGGTGCACTGCTGAGACTACAACATTTGTATATTTGTAGTATCACTTGTAATGTTTCCTTTTTCTCTAATTTCATCTGTTTGGGTCTTTCTCTTTTTTTCTTGATTTGTGTAGCCAAAAGTCAACTTTGTTAATCTTTTCAAGAAATCAACATATTTTGCTGAAATTTTATATTTTTAATCTCATCTATTTAAAGTCTTTCTAATTTTTTTTGATGTAGGCATTTATAGCTACAAAATTCCTTTTTAGTACCACTGTAGCTGCTGTATGTCATAGATGCTGGCATGTGTTTTCATATTTTCATATTCATTTGTTTCAATATTTTTTATTTTTTTCCTAATTTATTAATTGACCTATTGGTCATTCAGGAGCATGTTGTTTAATTTCCATGTGATGGGCATTTTCTAAGGCTCGTCTTTTATTAATTTTTAGTTTTATTCCACTGTAGTCATAAAAGATACTTGATATGGTTTCTGCTCCTTTTGAATTTGTTGAGAGTTGTTTTGTGAACTAACATATGGTCTATCCCAAAGAAGTTTTCGTGTGCTGATGAAAAAGTGTGTATTCTGTAGCAATTGCGTGGAACCTTCTGTAAACATGTTGGACCCATTGGTCTAGAGTACAGATAACCCGGATTTTTTTTGTTTTTGTTGATTGTCTGCCTCGATAATGTGTCCATCATCTAAAATGAGATGGTAAATTTTCCTACTGTTATTGTATTGCAGTCTATTTCTCCCTTTATATCCATTAATATTTGATTTATATATTTGGTTGCTCCATTGTTGGGTGTATATATACTTACTACTATTATATCCTATTGGTGAATCTACCCCTTGTTAACGATATAATTACTGTTTTTTGTCTTTGTATACAGTTTTTTTTTAATGCAAAGACTATTTTACGTAAGTATAGCTACCTCTACTGTTTTTTCATTTTCAGTTGTATAGAATATGTTTTCCCATCCTTTCACTTTTTCTCTCTAGGTGAAGTGAGTTTCTTTATAAGTGTAGTGAGTTTCCTGTAGACAGCATATAGTTGGGTCTTACTATTAATCAATTCAGCCACTTTTTATGTCTTTTAATGAGATAATTTAGCCATTTACACTCAGTGTTATTATTGATAGCTAAGGACTTACTACTGCCACTTTTACTTGTTTTTACTTATTCTGTAACTCTTCTCCTTTATCCCTTTCTTATGTGTGTGTATGTGTGTGTTGTTGTTATTTTCTCTGGTAGTATGTTCTAATTTTTTTGCTTTATATTTTTAGTGCCTCTGCTATAGGTTTTTGCATTGTGGTTACCATGATGCTTAAACAAAACATTATAGAGTTATAACAAGTATTTAAAACTGATGCCATCTCAAATTAGATCACAAAAAAAGAAACACAGTAAAAAAAGAAACTATGTATATTAACTCCCTTCTATCCCAATAGTTTGAAATTTTCAGAAACCCTGTCTCTTAAAAAATATTTTACGTATGATAATGTTTAAATGTCTTGTCTCTCAGTCTTCTTGCTAAAGATGTAATTTATTTAAACACTGTGATGACAATATTAGTATAACAATCACATTCACATTCTTTCTTTAGATCTGAGAAAATTCCTTTAGTAGTTCTTGTATTACATGTCTGAAAGCAACAAATTATCTTAGCTTTTCTTTGTCTGGGAAGGTCTTTTTATATCCTTTATTTCTGAAGGACAGCTATGCTGGGTACAATATTCTTGATGTCCAACACTTTTTCTTCAGTGCTCTGATTATATTGTCTCACTCCATCCTAGCCTGCAAGATTTCTACTGAGAAGTTGCCTTGTATGTTATCTGATCCTTTTCTCTTGGCAGCTTTCAGAGTTCTTTCTTTGTCTTTGACATTTGTGCGTTTGATTATAATATATCTTTGGGTATTCCTATTTGGTTGAATCTGATTGGTGATCTTTGACCTTCCCACACCCAGACATTTATATATTTCACCAGGTTTGAAAAGTTTTCTGTTATTATTTCTTTGAATAAGCTATCTACCTATTTGTCTTTTTCTGTTACCTCTTTAACTACAGTAATCTGAATATTTACTCTTTTGATGTTGTCCCATAGATAGTATAAGTTTGCTCATTACTTTTTTTTTCTTTTTCTCCTCTGACTGTGTTTTGAAATAGTTTGTCTTTTAGTTTACTGATTCTTTCTTCTATTTGATTAATTCAGCTATTGATGTTTTCTATTGCATTTTTTATTTCAATCATTGTATTTTTAGCTCCAAGATTTTTGCTTGATTTTAAAAATGTCAGTCTTTTTGTTAAATATCTCTCATTAATTTCTGAACTGATACTCTGTATATTCTTGAAGTTTGTTGAGTTTCCTTAAAACATCTATTTTGATTTTTTTCTTTGAGACATCACATATTCCTTACTTTAGAATCAGTTTCAGGCACCTTATTTTATCTCTTTGGTGAGATCACATTTTTCTGAATATTCTTGATGCTTGTGAAAGTGTGATGGTATCTGCACATTGATGAATTAAGTGCTTATTTTAGTCTTCACAATCTGGCTTTATTTGTGCTTATTATTCTTCAGAGAGCCTTCCAGGGATTTTAAGCCAACTGACAGTTTTGTTCCCCACACATAGGACCACTGCAGCCATGTAAGCCCTAGAGGACACTCTAAGCCCAAACTCACTGTGAGTCTTTCAATGGTTATAATGCTGATGTGACTTCCTGGCTCAAATGCACTTCAGAAGACCAAGAAGAGTTCTGGGGCTGTGTGGAAATATGGGTCAGGTGCCTGAGTCCAGAAGACTCTTTCACTTTCCTAGATAGACATGCCTCCTAGAAGTACTTTTCACAGATAGAATGAATTCCTGAATGCAGCTAGACAGGCTGGACTCAAGACCAGCCCCCTTCAGGATGTGCTGTGGGAAGGAGGCTGATGGGTCTATCTTATTGTCTCAGATAGGCATGTATCAACCAGCAAGTTCCTGCTCAAGTAGGGTAGTTCTTTGCAACATAATGTAGTTCTTTGACTGCATATGAGTAAATGTGACCAGGTGTGCATCTCCCGGTAAGTCCCTGCAAAGACAGAATAGTTCACTGATTGCAGCAGGGGTGCTGAACCTGAGACTGGGATCCTCAGGATCTTCTGTGGGACAGAGGCTAGAAAGGTTGCTTTGTTGCCCCATACAGTTATATGTTTTCCAGCAGGTCTCAGCACAGCTGGGATAGTTCACAAACTACAGATAGAGGGGCCAGAGCAGACACTGGGCCCCCTTGGAATTTGCTGTGTGATGGAAGCTGGTGAGCTTGTCAAGAAGCTCATACTCCTGAGCTGTGTTATATATTCAAGTCTCCTTCTGGATCCTTGTGTGAGCAGAAATCTTGTTATTGAGGGATAAGAACAGGTTACCTTCTATTCGGCCATCTTGATGACATCACTTCCCTACTTCCCATGACTTTCTATGCCTTTGTTCGCAACAACAAATCAAATTCAGATATATATAACTAAACCAATGACCGATGTCTAAGTCATGTAGTATGTACTCAAAATATATTTTTTGAAAGAGTGAATGAATAAATTGATTTAAAAAATTAATAAAGGGGCTATAATATCACTAAATATTCCAGCAACTCTCCTCATTTAACTTTTTTTATTGACTCCAATAAGGTTTGTGATAAAGTAAAAACTATAGGTTCATGTGAGAGTGCAATCAACACCTTTTACAACTTTCCCAGTAGGCTACTCTTTAGAACCATATGATGTTACTTTCATTCATTTTCTTTCTGCATTTTCTTTTTCCAAATGCCATGCTGTTTCTTTATGTATGCTCTCTGGTCTTTTATATATGCTTTCCCTTTGGGGAGAGAAAAAAATAAGATCTGAATCCATTAGCCATTGGTGAACTTTTACTTACCTTTCATTACAAAATGAGCTCTGGATTTCATTTTATCCTCACAAGAAAGATTCCTTGACCCTTCTAGTGCACTCTTTTGGTAATTTTCTAACAATAATCACTCTGCATTGCATTTATTTGCTTACAAGTCTATCTTCCTCATAATTCTTGCATTCTAAAAGTACATTAATGTAAATATATGTAATATATACATTATTTTATTACTATATGTATTTGCATAATATTTGATATATAATTTATCTTATAGTTTATATATAAATATATTATAGTGTATACATTTATATATTAGTGTGTGTAAATAAGTTCTTTGAATAGCATATATGAATATATATACAATGGCAGAATATGTATATATTACTTTAAATATATTTTAGAGGAATACAAGGTAAAAACACATATAGAAGAGAAAGAAGTGGAAATTGAAACTGGGCTACCACAGTTTCTAACACAATAATCCGTTGTGTACAAGAGAAATTTAATAAATATTACTTTAAAATGTTTAAAATAAAGAATAAAGGAGTAAGTAATAAAAATTGTATGTTGTCCTAAAAGCACTTTTCAAAGCATCTGCATCTATTGGATATTACTCATTATCTGTTAAACATTTCTTTAATCAAGCCCAGCCCTCACATCAAGGTCAATGTATTTATAGTTTATATATTATGGTAAAGAACATTAATTTGAAGTGCAAAGTTTTAATAAAATATCCTTCTTCCTCTTTGCATATAATGCTAACCTACTAGGTCCTATGCAGCCCATAGGATCACTAATTAAAGAAAGCAGGGCTTCAGTAACCGCCTTATTAGTATCAAAGTTTAATTTTCTCACTTGAAAGTCATTCAAACTGCTTCAGTAGTTATGTTTTTTCCTGCACATCTCTCTTCTGCTTTGAAATGCTGTTCCCAGGGACTCAAAAAATCAGCCCCTTTGAAATCATTTGGCTGGAGCTAAATAAGTCCTAGTTCCAGTTATATTAATGAAGCAGTAAAGAGAAGTGGTCATTTGTGAACTGTGCTAAAGTGTTTGATTGTTTTTGTGTATAGCAGCCTCTAAAATATACACATGGGTAACTGAGAATTTGACATACACAACTCAACTTGGTTAGTACTAATAATATGCCTAGGGTCAGTTAACCTGCATGATTTAATTTGCCAGTGAAATTTAAATTTATATATTTAATGACTCTCTAAAAGCCATCAAACCAAAAGTTTGTTCATTACAATGTTTGATCCACTGTAGCTTTGTTGTCTTTTAGAGATTCATTTGATTCTAATGACACTCACAGTGTTTGTTCTGAATTAGCTCTCTGTGGATTGGATTGCTGTCTTGTCTTCTGTGTATCATCTTACATAAACATTTTGGCCACTTTATTTCTTTTATTTGAAAATGACTGCAAGTCATTAGGTGTTTTTGGTGAGTATTTAATTATATTATTATTTTTAAATAATAAGATAAATGCAAAAACTTGGCTGTTTTTAAAGAACTACCCAACATCTGACCTGTCTGTTTTAGCTTTTCTAGGACTAGTGGTCAGAATTAATCTCACACTTGCCCAAATTTGTATTTCACATTTTCTCTAGTATGTCATTCTAACAGAAGATTTTTTGTAAGTTATTACAAAAAATGTATGCTATTAGAAAAATATATGTTCTTTAAACTGAACTGTAGGGGCATAATGTCTCACTTGAATTAACTGTTCAACTCATTATTCTATGTAGGACACCATCATGATTGCTGTGGATTACTCAATGCATCACAGTGAGTTGAACATTGAAAGCTCTATGAAGGAGATAGAATAAAGTAAACTTATACTGCCCTGCTATCTCTAACAGGTACAGGCCTTATATAGTCTACATTGGATCATACCAACTACTGACTAAAGGTTGAACTTTTCTGGTTAAATATCAAAAAATTATTTCAGTTACACACACAAAGAGACATACACACATGCAGATGGCCTTCTGTATCTTCAAGTTCTATATCTGTGAATTCAACCAACCAGAAAGAAAAAAAAACTATTTGAAAAAGAAATACAACAACAAAAATAATGCAAATTTAAAAAATGCTGTATAACCACCAATTAAATAGCATTTACATTTTCTTAGATATTTTAAGTAGTCTAGATATTATTTAAAGTATATGAAAGATGTGCATAGGCCATATGCAAATACTCTATCATTTTATATTAAGGACTTGAACATCCACAGATATTGGTATCTGAAGGGGATTCTGGAACCCAACCATTTTGGATACTTAGGAGCAATTTTACACATATTATTCCAATGCATAGTCTTATCAACTAATTTACAGGAATCTGTCAATTCACCCTGGCCCTTTACTCATTTGTTTCCATTGTAAGAGTGTTGGACTGAAGGAAGGAAACTAAGCAAAATCTGAGTGACTTCAGATTAATAAGGTCAATGCATTATAGGTCTTCATATATATTACAGAAGGAATGGGAAGTGGATCTAAAAATAAATGATTGTGAGATTCTCAAAAATTAGGAAAAAAATATTTAAATATTTAAATCAAGCAATAATTTGTTTAGTAATGGAATATATTTAAAAGGTATTACTTTTAATTTTGATGTAGCTGAAGTTATTTTTCTGCTATCATATTTTAATTAAAAGATATAGGTATTACAGGGAAAACACATGCTCAACTAAGAAAATTTATAAATTGTTGGAAATTACAATAAACATGCAAAATATTCATATACAACCAATCCATGATGATGCCACCACAAGTAACAATATTAATTTATTGGAGGAGTTTTTGAAATTTTTGCAGCTTTGACCCTACATAGATGACAGTGCATTACTTATAAGCATGACCTGAATCTATTCAGCATTTATACTTATTGGCTGTGTTTTATTGAGCAAGTCATTTAACCATTGGACATTTAAAACTGACCTTCTATTTCTAAAATATAGAATATAAATGTGGAAATCTGTGCATAAAAATGAGAATATGCTTAAAATTTAGCTACTGTAACTATGGCAGTGAATATGATGTTGGTAATGAAGATGATGATGAGGGTGCATGGTACCCTAAACTAGTGAAATTTGAGGAAAATATGTTAGAAATAAAGCACATAAAATTGTTCCTGCTAGCGTAAATGAAATGCATGGAATATCTATATAACTAGTGTATTCAGTCATAGATTTGGAAATGAGAATACATTAAAATATCTTGGAAAGCAAAACCATTTTGAGAAATACCTAATGTAGATGACGGGTTGATGGATGCAACAAACCACCATGGCACATGTATACCTATGTAACAAACCTGCATGTTCTGCACATGTATCTCCAAACTTAAAGTATAATAATAAAAAAAAGAAGGTAGAATGACTTAATGTGTGAAAGAGCTTTTTATTTCTAATTAATTAATATTCAATTTCTATTTCAATAATAAAAGTATATTTCTTACAAAAATTCTAGTTTTGTACAAGTAATGATTTATATCATTTGTACACATGACTTAAAGCAGCATCTTGGAGTGCAGTGGTTATCACACTCTGTTCCACAAATGGCAGTTTCTTTACTATGGCAGAGGTGCAACATGACTTCATTTGACGGGATTGTGAGATGCTATGACTATCTAAGTGAATGTTGAGTTTTCTCTTAATGCTTTAGATTTCATCACAGTTTATTAATTCCTTCTAAGAAAATTACTTTTAAAAAAAGAAAATCATTTGATGGAGAGAAAAAAGCTAAAAATCGTTGGAGTGAGGAAGAAATATTAGACTTGCTAACAAAATGTATTCTTGTCATTTTTAAAAGCAACGGTAATATATTAATATTACCTGGTCCCCTTAATGTAGTATCAATACAGGTTAAGAAGGTATAATAAATATATGATACCAACCTTTAAAGAGAAAGAATTACATGTAATGCCATATGACATCAAATAACCCTCACTGTAGGAAAGCATATATCAGCTTTTTTTTGTGTGTATGTGTGTGCTTTTTTTGACAGTCTTGCTCTGTCACCCAGGCTGGAGTGCAGTGGTGCGATCTTGGCTCACTGCAAGCTCTGCCTCCTAGGTTCAAGCCATTCTCCTGCCTCAGCCTCCCAAGTAGCTGGGACTACAGGCCCCTGCCACCATGCCCAGCTAATTTTTTGTATTTTTAGTAGAGACGGGGTTTCACGTTAGCCAGGATGGTCTCGATCTCTTGACCTCGTGATCCACCTGCCTCAGCCTCCCAAAGTGCTGAGATTACAGGCATGAGCCACCGTGCCCAGCCTATCAGCTTTTAAAAAATGTGCATAATTATTGCTCTCTACCTGCATTTCAAAAAGTGTCTGTAATGCAAAAATATAACAGATGTTTTACATAGCTAATTAGTGGCAATGCCCACAGAAAATAAAAATAAAACCCCAAATCCAAAAATTATAAGTTTTATTTCTTAAACAAAACCTGCAAAGTCTTTGGATGGATGACCTCCATCAACCTTGCAGGGCTCTTCTCCCAACAATGCTTCAAAGTGTCCCCAATTCTAGCAGTGATACTAAACTGCTTTCCAGGGTATTGTGTTTTCTCTTATCTCTAAATTATGCATAACTAGTTTTCTGTAACTAGAATGCCACCTTTATTCTACATGCTATTCAACCAACTCACCATATTTAGGTAGCCCCAATTGATGTGCTAGGATGACCTATAGACAGTTTTTCCTTTGAGTTATATTAGTATCCTGATAATAGCTGTTTATTTAGTTATATTTTATAATTAGCTGATGGTAATGTATAAAGACTATTGGCTTTACTTTAATATCATTTCTACCATAAAAGACACCTGGCACATATTATGCAACCTTAATGTTTGTGTGTGTGACTTCTGATACTATTAAGCTTTAAAAATACTATTTCTTAGAATTGGGGTTATAGGGATATATAATTTTTATCTTGTTATACTCTAAAGAGAGAATAATTTAGGTGTATCTAAGAAGGTTTGGGATTCTATATTCCTCTACTGTGTTTGAAGGTTGCATTTCAAAGCAATTACAGCAGTCTGTATGCTTGAAAGGGTGAGTGAGTACATTCTAAAATTGTTAATGTAACACACTACGTTCTAAACTGTTCTCATGTCATAGCTTTTATGACAAAAAGGAGTTTGCACAGAGCAATGGTTAGTTTTGCCTGCCTATTTCACCAGGCTATAGTACTCAGTTATTTAATCAAACACTAGTCTACGTGTTGATGTGAAAAGTACTTATGGATGTGGTTAACACCTACAATCAGTTGATTCTAAGTACGTTATTCTTGATAAAGTTGGTGGGCTTCACTGAATCAGTCAAGACACCTTAAAAGCAAAAACTGAGGTTTCCCAAGAAGGAGAACTTCTGTCTCAGGACTGCAGGTTTAAATCCTGCATGAGTTTCCAGCTTGCAGGCCTGCTGTGAAGATTTTGAACTTTGAGCTTGCCCGCCCCCTCAATTGCATGAAAATATTCCTTAAGTTTATATATACATATATATATATATATATATATATGCACACATTATTTAAGAGCATATAAAGCATATATATACGTGTGTGTGTGTGTGTGTGTGCATCTATATCTATCTTTATATATATATCTTTATATATCTATCTTTATATATCTATCTTTATATATATCTATCTTTATATATCTATCTTTATATATATATCTTTATATATATATCTTTATATATCTTTATATATATATCTTTATATATATCTTT
Source organism: Homo sapiens (assembly GCF_000001405.40). Classification (NCBI taxonomy): domain Eukaryota; kingdom Metazoa; phylum Chordata; class Mammalia; order Primates; family Hominidae; genus Homo; species Homo sapiens. Next base: position 30,421,723 of record NC_000009.12, read on the forward strand.
ATATATATATCTTTATATATATATCTTTATATACATATATCTTTATATATATATCTTTATATATATATATATATACTTTTCTCTGGAGAATCTTAACTGATACATACACCATAAAAAATAACAAAGAACGAAACAGAAAAAAAAGTCAACAGGAATCACTGTAAATGTTAATGAAATGCTCATGTTGTAAGTTTCAGTACAAAGTACTGTAAATGTTAATGTTCTAATAATAACATTAATAGAGGTGCTCCTTGACTTATGATGGGACTACGAACACAAGATTCAGGCCCATGATAAGTCCAGGAGCATACTGAATGCATTACCAACTTTGAACCATGGTAAAGTTAAGCCAAACTGTTATAAGTCACAGGCAGTCTGTATGCTACGAAAATATAGACTGCTTTTTAATACAGAGTACTTAGATTGATGACAAGTGATGTTTTTGCATAAAGAATATGAATGTGAAAACAGATAACAAAGGACATCTTTATTCACATTAAGTATGAAAAAAATCAGGGAACATAAAGCAAACTTAATATTTCTTAATTTTAAACCTTGCAATATTTAGGCTGTTAGATGTAATACACAGTAATAATAATTTAAAGCATTACACTGTGCTTACATTTAGATTAGATGTCATGAACTTCCAAATGAAATCTAGAGAAAAAACATTATTATGTTCTTATATCATGTGCATTAACAAGAGAGCATTTGATCTATTTAGAGTGTTTCTTAGGCCATAATATTATTCAGAAACCTCTGGTTTCTTTCTTCAAAATCAAAATAAAAAGAGTGGAGGAGGAGGAGGGTAAAGGGGAGGGGGAAATCAGAAAAGAAAGAGGAAAGAAATAAGTTTTTGCTTTGATGAATAGACTATTCCCAACATCTGTCCTTGAGAATTTAACCATGCATTTATCAAAAATTTCACATTTTTTCTACCCACTTTTAATAGCAAGTGTGAATTTCTGTTTTTAAATTCATAATGCTGTTCCAAAACCCCAATGTTATTTGTATGACTACTCCTGACACACTCTGACCTGGTACACAATTCTTTACACATCACTGATGGCTTTTACACAAATGCTAAGCCCTATAGATTCTAGAACAAATCCTGGTCAGGGTATAAAATATATTAGAATTTCTAGCCTCATGGTAGGTGAAGTTTTGAAAGACATTTTACATTAGGTTTGGAATTGATAATATTGGTATAGGACTCTGCATGGCCCCATGCTGCTAAGTCATTAGCCTGCTCCTATTCCTCACCTTACTGACCCAGATAACAAAACTAGGCTTCTGTGAAGTTTTCTCATACACAGTTTAAGGTTTTTGCTAGGTGAAAATTACTGTCTGAATCTAAGACCCCTGGAGGAGTGTCCTAGTATGTTATACACCAATCTAATCTCTTTCTCTAGGAAACTATATTTTATTCCCATATTCCCATTTAACTAATCTTGTCCACATTTTGAATGGATTAATTTTCTAGAACCATTGAGTTGTTAAGTACATACTTCCAGGGTCTAAGAAGCTGAAAACAGCCCAGCCAATTCCATCCAGTTCCATCTATCTCTCATTCCTCATCAATCTTTGTTGTTAAGATGCTAGGCCGGGTGCAGTGGCTCAGGGTGTAATCCCAGCACTTTGGGAGGCCGAGGTGGGCGGATCACGAGGTCAGGAGATCGGGACCATCCTGGCTAACATGGTGAAACCCCGTCTCTACTAAAAATACAAAAAATTAGCCAGGCATGGTGGCGGGCACCTGTAGTCCCAGCTACTCGGGAGACTGAGGCAGGAGAACAGTGTGAACCCGGGAGGCGGAGCTTGCCACCGCAGTCCAGCCTGGGCAAGAGAGCAAGACTCCGTTACAAAAAAAAAAGAAAAAAGATCCTAGCATGTCTGGAGCCTGAACCAAACTGGATAATAAAAGTATACTTTCAATTAATAATTAATGTATAGAAACTTTGGATATTCTAAGTATAATGGAAAATATATTATGAAGTTAACATTATGCAGACAACTATAATTTCAAAAGACCTTTATTTTTCTCTAAAAGCAGTAACTGGTTGGGTATTATTTATATATATTGGCCAGGCTGGTCTCAAATTCCTGACCTCAAGTCATCCATCTGCCTTGGCCTCCCAAAGTGCTGGGATTACAGGCATGAGCCACCATGCCTGGCCTCAGATGATATTTTCAAACAATTTTATTCCTATAAAAACTTTTAAGTTCAATGTGAATAATTTAATTTTTTTAAAATTTAAAATATTGCACACAGTCAAAACCTGACAAAGTTATTTTTATTTATTTATATTTCGTTGTATATTTAATTATGCATTCATGCATTCATTTATATCATACAGAGACGATGTGGACTCAGAGGCAGTAGTCTTTTCTAGATTTTTACCTACATATCTTTTGATCCTAAGATTTTGAAAGCTCCTGGAGGAAAGCACTTACCAATAAATACTAAATGTATTCAATAGTAGAGGGACAGAGCAAAATGACTGAAAATAGGCCTCCAATTGTCCCCCACAAAGGAACACCAAATTTAACAACTATCTACCAAAAAAAAAAAAAAAGCACCTTCATAAGAACAAAAAATCAGATGAACACTCACAGTACTTAGTTTTAACTTCATATGACTAAAAAAGGCACTGAAAAGGGTAGGAAAGACAGTCTTGAATTCATGATGTTACACTTTCTCGATCCCCAAGCAGAAGCTATGTGGGGCAGAGAGAGAATGGTCTGCTCTTGGGAGAAGGAGAGTGCAGCAACTATGAGACTATGCATTGAACTCAGTAAGGCCCTGTCACAGTAGAAAGGAAAACCAGCCTGAACTCAGGTGTAGCCCACACATGGAGGGGGCATTTAGAGCAGCCCTAGCCAGACGGGAATCACTCATCCCAGTTGTTGGAACCTGAATTTTGACAAGCCTTGACACCATGGATTAAAGTGCTCTCAGGGCCTAAATAAAATAAATTTGAAAGGCAGTCTAGGCCTCAAGGACTGAAACTCCTAGGCATTTCCTAGTGCTGAGCTGGGCTCTGAGCAGGCGGACCTCAGGGATATGTGACCCACTGAGACACTAACTGAGATGTCCAGAAATGCTGTCTAAGAGACAAAACCTGGAATTGGGGGTCCCAAGAGCCTGCTTGCTGCTCTATCCCACTATGGGTGAGCTAGTACCTAAGGTGAAAGACAAAGGCCCCTTTACTTTTCCCTCTGCTTTTCTGAAGTAGATGGAGTCTCTCACCATAGCCATTACAACTGGGAATATACTCATCTCACAGTCTCACCCAAGGCCCATGGTATACTGTGTGGGTATTACCGCTGTTTATTCAGGGCCTAAGAGTTCCTTAGTCAGCAGGCGATGAATCTGGGTCCTTCCCTTCAAGACACTGGGTTCTTTTCTTGCCCAATGTATGTCCAGGTGTATCACCCAGAGCAAGACCTGGAATAGGGACCTCACAGCTGTGACGAGTTTCCTATCCTACTGTGGCTAAGCTGGTATCCAAATGCAAGAAAAAGTCTTTTTTACTCTCCCTTCCCCTTTCCTCAAGCAGAAGAAAGAGGTCTCTTTTGGAGTCAGGAGCTATGCTGCTGCCGGTTGGTGGAGAGGTAGCACGAGCACCATTCCAGCATTTCTGGATATGTCCTGGGCCACATGGGAGCCCATTACCCTGAAGGCTGAGTCCCAGGCCTGGCAGCATTAAGCACAAACTGATGTAAGAGCCCTTGGTTCTTAAGTGAACATCAGCGGTAGCCTGGCAGTACCTCTGTGGACTTGTAGTGGTGGTGGCCATGGGGTGAGGCTTCGCTGTCTGTGGAAGGAGAATAAAATAGTGGAAAGGAAATAGGCAGCAGCCAGGGACTGATTACATCAGGTCTTGGATGAGACCCAGTGCTGTACTGGTTTCAGAACTGATGCAGTGCAGTCACAGTAGTGGTGGCCACAAGGGTGCTTGTGTCACTCCACCCCCAGCTCTTATGAGACTATGCATTGAACTCAGTAAGGCCCTGTCACAGTAGGAAGAAAAACCAGGCTCAATTCAGGTGTAGTCCACGCATGGAGGGGGCATTTAGAGCAGCCCTAGCCAGACGGGAATCACTCATCCCAGTTGTTGGAACCTGAGTTTTGACAAGCCTTGCCACCATGGATTAAAGTGCTCTCAGGGCCTAAATAAAACAAACTTGAAAGGCAGTCTAGGCCTCAAGGACTGAAACTCCTAGGCAATTCCTAGTGCTGAGCTGGGCTCTGAGCATGTGGACCTCAGGGATTTGTGAGTTTGTTTGGACTCTATATGTTTGGGACAAAATTATGAAAGAGAACAAGAGTCTTTGCTTGGTAATCCAGAGAATTCCCCCAGATCTGGCCCAAGACCATCAAGGCAATAGGTAACTTCACGAGTCTGAGAAAAACAGTGTCACTGAGCTTCAGGTGCCCTCTAAAGAAGATTAGGCTTAGATCACAACACCCAAGTTTCTTTAAATATTTGGAAAGCCTTCCAAAGAAGGTTGCCTACAAATAAGGCCAGACAGTAAAGTCTAAAATACATACCAATTCAAAGCTGAGACACCAAAGAATGTCTACTAGAATCAACATCATCCAGGAAAACATGCCCTCACCAGATGAATGAAATAAGGTACCAGGGACCAATCTTGGAGAAGTCCAGATATGTAACCTTTTAAAAAGAGAATTCAAATAGCTGTGTTGAGAAAACTCAATGAAATTCAAGATAACACACCAAACAAATTCAGAATTCTATCATATAAATTTAACAAAGATGTTCAAATAATTTAAAAGGATCAAGCAGAAATCATAGAGCTAAAAAATGCAATTGGCATACTGAAGAAGTAATCAGAGTCCTTTAATAGCAAGGTGGATCAAGCAGAAGAAAAAAATAGCTTGAAAACAGGCCATTTGAAAATACAGTCAGAGGAGACAAGTGACAAATAGAGTAAAAAAGAATGAAGAACACCTACAAGATTCAGAAAACAGGCTCCAAAAGTCAAATCTAAGAGTTATTGGCTTTAAAGAGGAGTTAGAAAAAGAGATAGGGATATAATGTTTACTCAAAGTGATGATAACAGAAAACTTCCCAAACATAGAGAAAAATATCAACATTCATTTATAAGAAGGTAACAGAACACAAAGCAGATTTAACCCAAAGAAGACAACTTGAAGGCATTTAATAATCAAACTTCCAAAATTCAAGGATTTAAAAAAGGATCCCAAAAGCAGTAGGAAAAATGAAACAAACAACATAAAATAAAACTCCAATACATCTGGCAGCAGATCTTTAGTGGAAACATTACAGGCTGACAGAGTAGCATCACATAGTTAAAAGGTTAAAGGAAAAAAAATTATCCTAAAATAGTATATCCACCAAAAATATCCTCTGAAGATGAAGAAGACATAAAGGCTTTTCCAGATAAGCAAAAGCAGAGGGATTTTGTCAACAGCAGACCTGTCCTCCAACAAATGCTATAGGCAGTACTTCAAACACAAAGAAAAAGACATTAATGAGAAATAATAAATCATCTTAAGGTAAAAAACTCACTAGTAATTGTAAGAAGATAGAAAAATACAGAATACTGTAACACTGTAACTGTGGTGTAAACTACTGTAAACTGTATGTAAACTACTCTTAAGTAGAAAAACTAAACCATAAAAAATTAAAAATAAAAACTGCGATAACTTTTAAAGACATAGTACAAATATATATATATATACAAATATATGCATATATACATATATACATATATATGGAGAACAAGTTAGGGTGTAAAGTTTTTTTTATTATTATACTTTAAGTTTTAGGGTACATGTGCACATTGTGCAGGTTAGTTACATATGTATACATGTGCCATGCTGGTGCGCTGCACCCACTAACTCATCATCTAGCATTAGGTGTATCTCCCGATGCTATCCCTCCCCCCTCCCCCCACCCCACACCAGTCCCCAGAGTGTGATGTTCCCCTTCCTGTGTCCATGTGATCTCATTGTTCAATTCCCACCTATGAGTGAGAATATACGGTGTTTGGTTTTTCGTCCTTGCGATAGTTTACTGAGAATGATGATTTCCAATTTCATCCATGTCCCTACAAAGGACATGAACTCATCATTTTTTATGGCTGCATAGTATTCCATGGTGTATATGTGCCACATTTTCTTAATCCAGTCTATCATTGTTGGACATTTGGGTTGGTTCCAAGTCTTTGCTATTGTGAATAATGCCGCAATAAAAATACGTGTGCATGTGTCTTTATAGCAGCATGATTTATAGTCCTTTGGGTATATACCCAGTAATGGGATGGCTGGGTCAAATGGTATTTCTAGTTCTAGATCCCTGAGGAATTGCCACACTGACTTCCACAATGGTTGAACTAGTTTACAGTCCCACCAACAGTATAAAAGTGTTCCTATTTCTCCACATCCTCTCCAGCACCTGTTGTTTCCTGACTTTTTAATGATCACCATTCTAACTGGTGTGAGATGGGATCTCATTGTGGTTTTGAGTTGCATTTCTCTGATGGCCCGTGATGATGAGCATTTTTTCATGTGTTTTTTGGCTGCATAAATGTCTTCTTTTGAGAAGTGTCTGTTCATGTCCTTTGCCCACTTTTTCATGGGGTTGTTTGTTTTTTTCTTGTAAATATGTTTGAGTTCATTGTAGATTCTGGATATTAGCCCTTTGTCAGATGAGTAGGTTGCGAAAATTTTCTCCCATTTTGTAGGTTGCCTGTTCACTCTGATGGTAGTTTCTTTTGCTGTGCAGAAGAAGCTCTTTAGTTTAATTAGATCCCATTTGTCAATTTTGTCTTTTGTTGCCACTGCTTTGGTGTTTTAGACATGAAGTCCTTGCCCATGCCTATGTCCTGCATGGTAATGCCTAGGTTTTCTTCTAGGGTTTTTATGGTTTTAGGTCTAACGTTTAAGTCTTTAATCCATCTTGAATTGATTTTTGTATAAGGTGTAAGGAAGGGATCCAGTTTCAGCTTTCTACATATGGCTAGCCAGTTTTCCCAGCACCATTTATTAAACAGGGAATCCTTTCCCCATTGCTTGTTTTTCTCAGGTTTGTCAAAGATCAGATAGTTGTATATATGCGGCGTTATTTCTGAGGGCTCTGTTCTGTTCCATTGATCTATATCTCTGTTTTGGTACCAGTACCATGCTGTTTTGGTTACTGTAGCCTTGTAGTATAGTTTGAAGTCAGGTAGTGTGATGCCTCCAGCTTTGTTCTTTTGGCTTAGGATTGACTTGGCGATGCACGCTCTTTTTTGGTTCCATATGAACTTTAAAGTAGTTTTTTCCAATTCTGTGAAGAAAGGCATTGGTAGCTTGATGGGGATGGCATTGAATCTGTAAATTACCTTGGGCAGTATGGCCATTTTCACGATATTGATTCTTCCTACCCATGAGCATGGAATGTTCTTCCATTTCTTTGTATCCTCTTTTATTTCATTGAGCAGTGGTTTGTAGTTCTCCTTGAAGAGGTCCTTCACATCCCTTGTAAGTTGGATTCCTAGGTATTTTATTCTCTTTGAAGCAATTGTGAATGGGAGTCCACTCATGATTTGGCTCTCTGTTTGTCTGTTGTTGGTGTACAGGAATGCTTGTGATTTTTGTACATTGATTTTGTATCCTGAGACTTTGATGAATTTGCTTATCAGCTTAAGGAGATTTTGGGCTGAGATGATGGGGTTTTCTAGATATACAATCATGTCGTCTGCAAACAGAGACAATTTGACTTCCTCTTTTCCTAATTGAATACCCTTTATTTCCTTCTCCTGCCTGATTGCCCTGGCCAGAACTTCCAACACTATGTTGAATAGGAGTGGTGAGAGAGGGCATCCCTGTCTTGTGCCAGTTTTCAAAGGGAATGCTTCCAGTTTTTGCCCATTCAGTATGATATTGGGTGTAAAGTTTTTATTATTTTTCTATTCTTCATTTTGTTTGTCTTTGCAGTTATCAGTTTAAAATAATGGGTTTTATAATAGTATTTGTAAGTCTCAAGGTATCATCAAATTAAATAAATACGTGTGTATGTATATATATACATATATCATATATATATATATGATACACAAAACTAAAAAGCAAGAAATTAAATCATACCACCAGGGAAAATTACCTTAACTATGGGAAGACAGAAAGGAAAGAAGGAAGACCGCAAAGCAACCAAAAAGCAAGTAACAAAATGGCAGGAGTAAGTACATACTTATCAATAATAACATTGAATGCAAATGGACTAAACCCTCCAATTAAAAGACATAGAGTGGCTGAATGGATTAAAACAAACAAACAAACAAACCAAGACCCAGTGATTTGTTGCCTACAAGAAAGATACTTCACCTGTAAAAATAAAGGGATAGAGAAACAGCTTCTATTCCAGTGGAAACAAACAAACAAACAAACAAAAGCAATAGCTACACTTATGTCAGACAAAATAGTTTTCAAGATTAAAAACTATAAGGAGAGACATAGAAGGTAGTTACATAATGATAAAGAGGTCAATTCAGCAAGACTATATAACAATTTCAAATATATATGCACCCAACACTGGAACACCCATATATACAAAGCAAATATTATTAAAGCTAAATACAATACTAGCTGGAAGCTTCAACACCCCAGTCTCAACACTGGACAGATCAACCATACAGAAAATCAACAAAGAAACATCAGACTTACTCTACGCTGTAGGCAAAATATAGCTAATAGATACTTATAGTACATTTCATCAAACGGCTGAAGTATACACATTATTTTCCTTAGCACATGGATGATTCTCAAGGATAAAGGATATGTTAATTCACAAATCAAGTCTTAAAACACTCAATAAAATTCAAATAATATAAAATGTCTTCTCTGAACATAATAGAATAAAACTAGGAATCAATAATGAGGAATTTTGGAAATTATACAAGTATATGAAAATTAAACAATATGCTCCTTTATGACCAATGAAGAAATTAAAAAGAAGGAAACTGAATAATTTCTTGAAATAAATGATAATGGAAATACAACATACCAAAACCTATGGAATACAGTGAAAGCAGTACTAAGAAGTATATAAACACTGACATGAAAAAAGAAGAGAAATTTAAAATTAACAATGAGCAAGCATCTTAAATAAGTAGAAAATCAAGAGAAAACAAAACCCAAATTTAGTAGAAGAAAATAAATAATAAAGATCAGATAAGAAATAAAGGAAATTTAAATGAATAAAACAATATAAAATATAAATGAAACAAAGACTTTTTTTTTTGAAAATATAAACAGAATTGACAAACCATTAGCCAGGCTAAGTAAGAAAAAAAAGAGAGAAGAGCAAATAAATAAAATCAGAGCTGAAACAGGAGATATTACAACCAGAAATTCAAAGGATTATTGTGGATACTTATAAGCACTAATTAATTATAAATTTAAATAATCTAGAAGAAATTGATACATTCCTAAACAGATAAAACCTGCCAAAATTTAAAACATGAAAACATCAAAAACACAAACAGAACAATAACAAATAATGAGATCAAAGTCATAACGAAAATTCTTCCATGAAAGAAAAGCCTGGGGTCTGATGACTTCGTTGCTGAAGTCTATTAAACCTTTAAAGAAGAATACCAATCCTACTCAAACTATTCCAAAATAGAGGAGAAGGGAGTATTTCTAACTTATTCAATGAGCCCAGTATTACCCCCATCTCTGAATCAGATAAAAACACATCAAGCAAAGAAAACTATAGACCAGTATCACTAATGAATATTGACGCAAAAGTCCTGTACAAAATACAAGGAAACTGAATTCAACAACACATTAAAAAGATCAATCATCATGATCAAGTGGGATTTATACCAGAGATGCAAGGATAGTTCCAAATATGCAAATCAACTAATATGATACATCATATCAATAGAAAGAAGGAAAACATATGTGATCATTTCAATTGATGCAGAAATCACATTCGATAACATTCTACATCCCCTCATAATAATAATAAAAAACTTTTAAAAAACTAGGGATAGAAGGAACATACCTCAAAATAATAAAAGCCATATATGACAGACCCACAGTTAGTATCATACTGAAAGGAAAAATCTGAAAACCTTTCGTCTAAGATCTGGATCACCACAGGGTTGCCCATTTTCACCACTGTTATTCAACATAGTACTGGAAGTTCTAATTAGAACAATCAGACAAGATAAAGAAATAAAAGTCATCCAAATCAGAAAGAAAGAAGTCAAATTATCCTTGTTAGCAGATAATCTAATATTATATTTGGAAAAACCTAAAGACTCCACTGAAAATCGATTAGAACCTGATAAACAAATTCAGTAAAGTTACAAGATACATAATCAACATACAAAAATCAGTAGCATTTTTATATGCTAACAGTGAACAATCTGAAAAAGAAATTTAAAAAGTAATCCCATTTACATTAAATACCTAGTAATTAACCAAAAAAAGTGCACTATCTATACAATAAAAACTAAAAAACACTGATAAAATAAATTGAAGAGGGCAAAAAAAATGGAAATATATCCCTTGTTCATGGATTAGAATAATCAATATTGTTAAAATGTCCATGCTGCCGAAAGAAATCTACAAATTCAACACAGTATCTATCAGAGCACCAATAACATTCTCCAGAAAAATATTTTTAAAAAACTGCCCTAAGATTTATATGGAACCATAAATGACCCAGAATAGCCAAAGTTGTTCTAAGCAAGAAAAACAAAATGAAGGAATCACCTTACCTGCCTTCAAATAATGCTACAGAACTACAGTAACCAAAATGGCATAAAAACAGACACATAGACCAATGGAACCGAATACGGAGCTCTGATATAAATCTGTAAATCTACAGTCAACTCATTTTTGACAAAGTTGCCAAGAACACACATTGGTGAAAGGATAGGTTTTTCAATAAGTGGTGCTGGGAAAAAAATATTCATATGTGGAAGAATGAAACTAGACCCCTATCTCTTGTAGTATACAAAAATCTAATCAAAACAGATTACAGACTTAAATCTAGACCTAAACTATGAAAATACTAAAAGAAAACATTGGGGAAACTCTCCATGACATTAGATAGAACAAAGAGTTATTGAATAATAGTCCACAAGCACAGGCAACCAAAGCAAAAATGAAAACATGGGATCACATCAAGTTAAAAAGCTTCTGCAGAGCAAAGGAAACAATCAACAAAGTAAATGGACAACCCACAAAATAGGAGAAAATTTTTGCAAACTACCCATCTGCAAAGAATTAATAGCCAGAATATGTAAGAAGCTCAAAGAACTGTAGAGGAAAAAATGTAGTAATCTCACTGAAAAATTGGCAAAATATCTGTGTAAACATTTCTCAAATGAAGGCCTACAAATAGCAGACAAATATACAAAAAAGGTGCTGAACATCACTGATTATCAGACAACTGTAAATGAAAACTATAATGATATGTTTTCTCAGCCCATATAAATAGGCTTATATCAAAAAGACAGGCAATAAGGAATACTGATGAGGATATGGAGACAAGGTAACCCTTGTACATTCTTGGTTTCAATGTAAATTAGCAAAATCACTATGGAGAACAGTTTGGAGTTACCTCAAACAACTATAAATATAGCTACCATATGATACAGCAATCCCACTCCTAGATGTACGCCCAAAAGAAGAGAAATAAATATATTTCTGCACTCCCATGTTTGTTGCAGCACTATTCACAATAGCCTAGATTTGGAAACAAGTGTCCATCAACAGATGAATGAACAAAGAAAATGTGGTACCTATACACAATGGAGTGCCAGCCATGGAAAATACTGTGATTCTGCCATTTGCAACAACATGGATGGAAATGCACATTATTATGTTAAGTCAAATAAGCCAGGAACAGAAAAGCCAACTTCACATATTCTCACTTATTTGTGAGAGCTAAAAATTAAAACAATTGAATGTATGGAGATAGTCTAAGGTTGGTTACTAGAAGCTTGGAAGGGCAGTAGGGGCATGGAGATGGAAGTGGGGATGGTTAAGGGGTACAACAAAACAGAAATAATGATTAAGACCTTGTATTTGATAGCACAAAAAGGTGACTAGAGTCAAAAATAATTAAATTGTAAATTTTAAAATAACTTAAAGAGTATAATCTGATTTCTTCCAACACAAAGAATAAATACTTGAAGAGAAGGATACATCATTTACTCTGATGTGATTATTATGTATTGCATGTCTGTATCAAAATATCTCATGTACACCTACTATACACCCACAAAAATTTAAAATTAAAAAACGCATTCAAGTATATAATTTTAGATGTATTAAATAACCTAAATCTTAAGGTTTGTTATATATTAAATGTACTAAAGTGTTTTTCTGGCAAACAAAATGAAAACCTGGTAGTTATTTTCCAGATGAGTAAATGTTCAAACAAAAATACTTTAAAATTGAATTAATTATCAAAAAAGTCTAGAAAATCAATTCTTCATTGAAGGAAAGGGGAAAAATCAATTTTACAAAGAGATGACTTTACTAGTTAATCTATATATTCAGCTTAGAAAAAGTTGTTATGAAACCTCAAAGTTCTATTAATCATCTTTATTATTCTTACAGGAAATTCATGTAGATTCTCCTTTCATTTTATTATTGTAACTAAAAAGATTATCTGTGCAAACATTGAATAAGGTGTTAAAACTTTTTTGTTAATTCCATGTACAGATGCAGTCCTACTCTTTGAGATGTTATTTTATCATTAGAGAAAAAAATACTGTTACAGGTGGAAATGCACACACTTAAAATCTCTCAAGATATAATAATAAATTTTAAGAATAATATAATTGATATTAACTCAGTGTTTAATATATTCCACAATCTGCACTGGGCAGAAATTTTATATATTATCTCATTCAAGCCTTAAAAGATTCTGACTTGCATATGGTTATCTTATATTTGTAAATAAGTGATTTCAGTCCAAAGAGTTTAAGATACACGGTCTACACTACAAGGATAATAACTATCAAAACAGTATTCAGATGTAGGAGTCTCCAACTGTAATATGTGTGGAAGTTGGCATTTAAATGTTACATACTTTGTATTTTATTATCCAGAAAATAAATATAGTTATCTACTGTTACTATAGTATTTGGGAAATTTTTTATGAACACTTCAATTTCCTGAAAATAAATTTTCATAATAAAAACAGAAACTGAAATTTTCTTTCTGCCTCACAAAGATTAGATTTGGAACACTCCAGAATGACTGTGTCAACTTGACAAGTGCTCCTTCCCCAAAAGCAACTATATAACTTGACAAATTGTCATTAATAGCTGTTTAAATCATTTGTGAATTGAGCAAAAGAAAAAATGCAAATTGAGAAGCACTTATTCAACAAAATGTACTGAATCTTGGCGTCTGTTATTTCAGTTAGGGGCAGCTCCCATCCCAACACATTCCACCCCCAGGTCTGTGGTCCCACCTAAAGAAATTGACATTATTTGGAGCAGACTATGGAAAAATTCATGCCCAAGAATGTTGTGGAGAAAAATATATAGATCTCAACAGCAAATGATTAGTGTAGGCCAACATCTCAGGGTAATTAGTTCATTCAAGCTTTAAATTTACAGACAACTCAGAAACTTAACATGGAGATAAAGGGAAAGGGAAGGTAAAAGACCACCATGTTGATACCACATAGTACTGGTGGTTCAGAACCTATGCATATGTGTAAGGCCACAATTTTATCATGAGTGACTACAGAGAAAATGTGTGAGCTACTACTCCTGACTGAAAGTGGAACACAGCTGTCAACTCCCTAAACTTGTATTCTCTTCAGCTACAAACAGATCCAATGGCAAAAGGTGGGAGACGTACCAGATCAAGTTTAAACAAAACCTATGACGAATCATTAGGTAGTTACTTGTCTAAGTTGAAACAGGGGAGATCCAAACTTAAAAATAAAAACAAGAAAACAAAAACTTGGCAGTGAAATCAGTAGCTATACAGTTTGGAAGAAATACATTTTAAATGAATAATTCAGGGTAATCATTGAATAAACAATCAAAACACAAAAACAAAGGAAGTCACTTGGAGATAAGAAAAATAATCTATACTTGTTATGATATATTATGCTAAAATGTCCAGTGTTTTAAAAAAAAGATATACAAAGTAACAGGATAGCATAACACACATTGGAGAAAAAGAGAGTCAATACAAATTGTTTTTAAATAATTTGAGATATTTTTTCAAACACAAATATTCCAAACAGAAAAGTAAAGAAGAGCATGTTTAAATATAATAATTAAATGAAAATATAGGCTGGGCTTGGTGGCTTACGCCTGTAATCCCAGCACTTTGGGAGGCCGAGGCAGTGGATCACGAGGTCAGGAGTTCGAGATCAGCCTGGCCAGTGTGGTGAAACCCTGTCTCTACTAAAAATACAGAAAATAGCTGGGCATGGTGGCGCACCCCTGTAGTCTCAGCTACACAGGAGGCTGAGGCAGGAGAATTGTTTGAACCCAGCAGATGAAGGTTGCAGTGAGCCAAGATCGCGCCACTGCACTCCAGCCTGGGTGACACAGTGAGACTCCGTCTCAAAAAAAAAAACAACAAAAACCAGAAAACATAACAACAGTGACCCTTTTATCAAGAATATCAGTAAATAGGCATTTTAAAAATATACAAAAGGGAAACTCTGCAGTTAAAAGTATAATAACTGAAAATTTTAAATTTTTAAATGAAAAATTTAGTACATGGCCTCAACAGCAGAATTTAAGTGGTAGAAGAATTCATGAATATGAAGATGAAGCAACAGAGATTATTCAATCTCAAAAACAAATTTATATGGCCATACTACCCAAAGTAATTCACAGAATTCAATGTATTCCTATCAAATAATCATCAACATTTTTCACAGATTTAGGAAAAGCTTCTTTAAAATTTATATGCAACTAAAACAGAACTCGCATAGCCAAAGCAATCCTAAGCAAAAAGGAAAAAGTTGGAGGCATCACACTACTTGACTTCAAACTATACAACAAGGCTACAGTAACTAAAACATCGTGGTACTGGATCAAAAACAAACTTACAGACCAATGGAACAGGATAAAGAACCCAGAAATAAAGCTTCACACCTGCAACCATCTGATCTTCAACAAAGTTGACAAAAAGAAACAGTAGGGAAAGGACTTCCTATTCAATAAATGGTGCTAGGGTAACTGGCTAGAAATATGCTGAAGATTAAAACTGGACCCCTTCCTTTCACCATATACAAAAATCAACACAAGATAGATTAAAGGTGCAAATGTAAAACCTAAAACTAAACAAAACTTGGAAGAAAACCTAACAAACACCATTGTGGACATGGATCATGGCAAAGATTTCGTGATAAACACTTCCAAAGTAATTGCAACAAAAGCAAAAATCGACAAGTGAGGCCTAATTAAACTAAAGGGCTTCTGTGCAGCAGAATAAGCTATCAACACAATAAATAGACAACTTACAGAATGGGAGAAAATAGCAAGCTATGCATCTGACAAAAAAGGTCTAGTATCCATAATCTATAAGGAGCTTAAATCAATAATCAAAAATCAAACAACTTCATTAAAAAATAGGCAAAACAAATGAAAAGTCACTTCTCAAAAGAAGACATACAAGTGGCCAAGAAACATGTGAATAAACGCTTAGTCTCACTAATTATTAGAGAAATGCAAATCAAAACCACAGTGAGGTACCATCTCACACCAGTCAGAATGGCTACTGTTAAAAAGTCAAAAAAATAACAGATGTTGTTGAGGTGGTGGAGAAAAGAGAATTCTTATACACTGTTGATGGGAATATAAATTAGTATAACATCTATGAAAAACAGTATGGAGATGTCTCAAAGATTTTAAAACCAAACTACCATTTAACACAGCAATCCTATTACTGGGTATATACCCAAAGAAAAATAAATCATTCTACCGTAAAAACACATACACATGTATGTTTATTACAGCACTATTCACAGTGGCAAAGACATGGAATCAACCTAGATGATCATTAATGGTGGACTGGATAAAGAAAACATGGCACACATACACCAGGGAATAGTACACAAACATAAGAAGAACAAAAGCATGTCCTTTGCATCAACATGGTTGCAGCTGGAAGCCATTATCTTAAGCAAATTAATGCAGAAACAGTAGACCAAATATCTCATGTTTTTACTTATAAGTAAGAGTTAAACACTGAGTATACATGGGTACTAAGAAGGGAACAATAGACACCAAGGCCTACTTGAGGATAGAGGATGAGGTTCGAAAACATACCTATTGGGTACTATGCTTATTACCTTATTACCTGAGTGATTAAGTAATTTATGCAACAAACCTCACAACATCCAACTTACCCATGTAACAAGCCTATGCATGTTCACCCTGAATCTAAAATAAAAATTGGAAAAAACGAAAAAGTACCATATATATATACTTATAAATATATATAATAAACATATACTATCTATAAGTAACAAATATATGTGTGTGTGTGTGTGTGTGTATATACAAATTACATTCCTATAGCTTCTGTAACAAATTACCATGAACTTAATGACTTCAACATTTTTACTCTTTGACAGCTCTGGAGGTCACTTGTTCAAATTCTATATTTTGAAACACTAAAAACAATCTATCTACAGAGGTGGTTCCTTCTGAAGATTCCAGGGAAGAATCCATTTCCTGCCTCCTCTATTCTCTATAGGCTGCCTTGGTATTCCTTGGCTCGTAGCCACATCATTCAAGTCTCTGTTTCTTTCTTTATATCACCTTCTGTCCACATTGATATCTTGCATCCCTCATATAAGCATGCCTATGTTTATATAGGGCCTACCTAGATAAGCCTGGATAATACTCCTATCACAAGATCCTTCACCTAATCACATTATTGAAGTCTATTTTCCATGTAATGAGATTAGAATGTGGGCATTGTGCGTGTGTGTGTAGGGGTGTGATTATTCAGGCCACCAAAAACAAGAAGAAACAAGAATGAAGAAAAAACAAACAGAAATTGAAAGACATATGAAACACTATTAAACATACCAACATACACATAGCATAATTGCGAAAGGAGAGGAATGAGAGAAAGTGGCAGGAAAAATATTTGAAGAATAATGAAAAACATCTAATTTGATTAAAAAATTTAGTCTAGACACTCAATAACTAGAACAAACAAACTCCAAGTAAAATAAACACAAGATAACCAGTACCTAGCTATGTCATACTATGTCATAGGCAACCTATTGTTTTGTTTTGTTTTTTTGCTTTTGTTTTTTTTTTGTTTGTTTTTTTGAACGCTCTCTCACTCTCGCCAGGCTGGAGTGCAGTGGTGCAATCTCGCCTCACGGCAACCTCCACCTGCCGGGTTTAAGCGATTCTCTTGCCTCAGCCTCCCAAGTAGCTGGGATTACAGGTGCCCGTGACCACGCCCAGATAATTTTTGTATTTTTAGTAGAGATGGTGTTTCACCATGTTGGCCAGGATGGTCTCAATCTCGACCTCGTGATCTGCCTGCCTCGGCCTCCCAAAGAGCTGGGATTACAGGCGTGAGCCACCGCGCCCAGCCAGGCGAACTGTTAAAGACAAAGATAAAAAGAAAGTTTTGAAAGTATCAAGGGAAAAATGACTCATACATTAAGGAAACCACAAAATGATCAATTGACTTCTCATCAGAGGGAATAGAGGCAAGAAAGCTAAAAGTTAGCACATTAAAAATGCTGAAAAGAGCACAATGTCAACCAAGAATCCTGTATCAGGAAAAATGGGTTTTCAAAAATTAAAGAGAAATAAAAATAAATATTCTCTCAGCCAAACAGGCTGAGAGAATTCAACACTATCAAATTTGTTTAACAAGAAACCCTGAAGGGTATTTCTCAGGTTGAACAGAAGTGATACCAGACAGTAACTTGAATTAAAAAAAAAATGACCCCTAGTAAAGGTTATCATATAAGTTATTATGAAATATAGTATCAATGCAACTTTACTTCTCTCTTTTTCATTAAACTAATATAAAAAGTAACTGCAAAAAACAATTGCTCAAAGCGTGGTCTAATGATAAAGCAAGTTCCTTTGGCCCCACGGATTATGCTGCTGCAGAGGAAAGTCCTAGAGGGGCTCTCTCAATACATGGAACTACAATAGGGCCCCTCCTACCTGTTTAGAGTAAACCTGAAGGTAACAAATCCATTTTCTGGAAATAACTAGCTACCTTAGGATCCATGTTGCAGTCTCAGTGGCAATTTGTCTTCCAGAGAACCATAGCCTACCTCCTCTACAAGAATATAGATTTAAAATATTTGAATAATTGAGTGTACACAAGTTTGTGAGTTTTTTCATTCATTTATGTTTCTTTTTAAATTTATCTTCTGTTCAAATTTGTTCAACTTTAAACAATTTAATTTTGCTTCTCTTCTTTACATCTATATCCTCTTTCTAACTTTGATACCAATCTGCTTTCACAGAGGGTCAGTTTTCATTTAAAGATCCCCTTTGACCTTTATTAACACATGTTAATACGAGTTTATTGTCAACAATTTATTTTTCTTTATTTTTTATTTATTTTTTTTTTTTTTGAGACAGAGTCTCGCTCTTTCGCCTAGGCCGGACTGCAGTGGCGCTATCTTGGTTCACCGCAAGCTCCACCTCCCGGGTTCACACCATTCTCCTGCCTCAGCCTCCTGAGTAGCTGGGATTACAGGCACCCACCACCACGCCCAGCTAATTTTTTGTATTTTTAGTAGAGACGGGGTTTCAAGTTTTAGGGTACATGTGCACAACCTGCAGCTTAGTTACATATGTATACATGTGCCATGTTGGTGTGCTGTACCCATTAACTCATCATTTAACATTAGGTATATCTCCTAATGCTATCCCTCCCCCATCCCCCTACCCCACAACAGGCCCCAGTGTGTGATGTTCCCCTTCCTGTGTCCATGTGTTCTCATTGTTCAATTCCCACCTATGAGTGAGAACATGCGGTGTTTGGTTTTTTGTCCTTGTGGTAGTTTGCTGAGAATGATGGTTTCCAGCTTCATCCATGTCCCTACAAATGACATAAACTCATCATTTTGTATGGCTGCATAGTATTCCGTGGTGTATATGTGCCACATTTGCTTAGTACAGTCTATCATTGTTGGACATTTGGGTTGGTTCCAAGTCTTTGCTATTGTGAATAGTGCCGCAATAAACATACGTGTGCATGTGTCTTTATAGCAGCATGATTTATAATCCTTTGGGTATAAACCCCATAATGGGATTGCTGGGTCAAATGGTATTTCTAGTTCTAGATCCCTGAGGAATCCCCACACTGACTTCCTCAATGGTTGAACTAGTTCACAGTCTCACCAACAGTGTAAAAGTGTTTCTATTTCTCCACATCCTCTCCAGCACCTGTTGTTTCCTGACTTTTTAATGATCGCCATTCTAACTGGTGTGAGACGGTATCTCATTGTGGTTTTGATTTGCATTTCTCTGATGACCAGAGATGATGAGCATTTTTTCATGTGTCTTTTGGCTGCATAAATGTCTTCTTTTGAGAAGTGTCTGTTCATATCCTTTGCCCACTTTTTGATGGGGTTGTTTTTTTCTTGTAAATTTGTTTGAGTTCATTGTAGATGCTGGATATTAGCCCTTTGTCAGATGAGTAGATTGCAAAAATTTTCTCCCATTCTGTAGGTTGCCTGTGCACTCTGATGGTAGTTTCTTTTGCTGTGCAGAAGCTCTTTAGTTTAATTAGATCCTATTTGTCAATTTTGGCTTTTGTTGCCATTGCTTTTGGTGTTTTAGACATGAAGTCCTTGCCCATGCCTAGGTCCTGAATGGTATTGCCTAGGTTTTCTTCTAGGGTTTTTATGGTTTTAGGTCTAACATTTAAGTCTTTAATCCATCTTGAATTAATTTTTGTATAAGGTGTAAGGAAGGGATCCAGTTTCAGCTTTCTACATATGGCTAGCCAGTTTTCCCAGCACCATTTATGAAATAGGGAATCCTTTCCCCATTGCTTGTTTTTGTCAGGTTTGTCAAAGATCAGATAGTTGTAGATATGTGGCATTATTTCTGAGGGCTGTGTTCTGTTCCATTGGTCTATATCTCTGTTTTGGTACCAGTACCATGCTATTTTGGTTACTGTAGCCTTGTAGTATAGGTTGAAGTCAGGTAGTGTGATGCCTCCAGCTTTGTTCTTTTGGCTTGGGATTGACTTGGCGATGCGGGCTCTTTTTTGGTTCCATATGAACTTTAAAGTAGTTTTTTCCAATTCTGTGAAGAAAGGCATTGGTAGCTTGATGGGGATGGCATTGAATCTGTAAATTACCTTGGGCAGTATGGCCATTTTCACGATATTGATTCTTCCTACCCATGAGCATGGAATGTTCTTCCATTTGTTTGTATGCTCTTTTATTTCCTTGAGCAGTGGTTTGTAGTTCTCCTTGAAGAGGTCCTTCACGTCCCTTGTAAGATGGATTCCTAGGTATTTTATTCTCTTTGAATCAATAGTGAATGGGAGTCCACTCATGATTTGGCTCTCTGTTTGTCTGTTATAGGTGTATAAGAATGCTTGTGATTTTTGCACATTGATTTTGTATCCTGAGACTTTGCCGAAGTTGCCTATCAACTTAAGGAGATTTTGGGCTGAGATGATGGGGTTTTCTAGATATACAATCATGTCGTCTGCAAACAGGGACAATTTGACTTCCTCTTTTCCTAATTGAATACCCTTTATTTCCTTCTCCTGCCTGATTGCCCTGGCCAGAACTTCCAACACTATGTTGAATAGGAGTGGTGAGAGAGGGCATCCCTGTCTTGTGCCAGTTTTCAAAGGGAATGCTTCCAGTCTTTGCCCATTCATTATGATACTGGCTATGGGTTTGTCATAGACAGCTCTTATTATTTTGAGATACGTCCCATCAATACCTAATTTATTGAGAGTTTTTAGCATGCAGCGTTGTTGAATTTTGTCAAAGGCCTTTTCTGCATGTATGGAGATAATCATGTGGTTTTTGTCATCGGTTCTGTTTATATGATGGATTACATTTATTGATTTGCGTATGTTGAACCAGCCTTGCATCCCATGGATGAAGCCCACTTGATCATGGTGGATAAGATTTATGATGTGCTGCTGGATTCGGTTTCCCAGTATTTTATTGAGGTTTTTGCATCGATGTTCATCAGGGATATTGGTCTAACATTCTCTTTTTTTTGTTGTGTCTCTGCCAGGCTTTGGTATCAGGATGATGCTGGCCTCATAAAATGAGTAAGGGAGGATTCCCTCTTTTTCTATTGATTGGAATAGTTTCAGAAGGAATGGTACCAGGTCCTCCTTGTACTGCTGGTAGAATTCGGCTGTGAATTCATCTGGTCCTGGACTTTTTTTGGTTGGTAAGCTATTAATTGTTGCCTGAATTTCAGAGCCTGTTACTGATCTATTCAGAGATTCAACTTCTTCCTGGTTTAGTCTTGGGAGGGTGTATGTGTCGAGGAATTTATCCATTTCTTCTAGATTTTCTAGTTTATTTGCGTAGAGGTGTTTATAGTATTCTCTGATGGTAGTTTGTATTTCTGTGGGATCAGTGGTGATATCCCCTTTATCATTTTTTATTGCTTCTATTTGATTCTTCTCTCTTCTTTATTAGTCTTGCTAGCGGTCTATCAATTTTGTTGATCCTTTCAAAAAACCAGCTCCTGGATTCATTGATTTTTTGAAGGGTTTTTTGTGTCTCTATTTCCTTCAGTTCTGCTCTGATTTTAGTTATTTCTTGCCTTCTGCTAGCTTTTGAATGTGTTTGCTCTTGCTTCTCTAGTTCTTTTAATTGTGATATTAGGGTGTCAATTTTAGATCTTTCCTGCTTTCTCTTGTGGGCATTTAGTGCTATAAATTTCCCTCTACACACTGCTTTGAATGTGTCCCAGAGATTCTGGTATGTTGTGTCTTTGTCAACAATTTCCAAGGAGCGAAAGAATCATGGAAAGAACATGGGGGGTGAACTGGGTTTTCTCTGAGAATCATCAGTACCATATACCAAACCAATGGTTTCTCACGTTAAGTGTATTCTATTTTAAAACCCACTTTAACACTATTTAGAGTAAAAATCACAAATCTATACCTTACCACTCACCACTTTATGTCATTTATGTATCTGAGTGACCCAATATATTATAATGACTTTAGTGTCAGATGCTTTGTCCTGTTTACCTATAAGCTTAGCCTAGTGTCTTCTATAAAAACAACAATCAAGTTTGAATAATTGGACAGTTTCTTACAAAATTAAGTTTGACTCAAGGTTTTGTCATGTTTCTGATATTCCCAGTCTCCCAAATGAATGTCTGATTTTGACTCACACATTTGTGGACCCAGGCTCCAGCCTTCTTTCTCAGCTTCTAAATGCTATTTATTACTAACACTTCCATGGGTTAAAACCTTTATCTATTTGTCAAACTGCCATCATTACCTTTTCCCCATTTTCATAACAATATTGTGTTGGTTAAAAAAAAAATTCAGCTGCAAGCAATAGGAGACTAATGAGCAGAGCATAATTGAAATATTTATAATTTACTTAATCAGAGGTCTGAAGGTTGATTGTCTCAGGGTTAGTCACTTAGTATTATCAAGAAACTCATAAACCTAGGCTTTTTTTAGATTCCAACTCTATCATACATAGATGTTAATTTTTTATCATTAAGATTTTCAACTCATGATAAAAAAATAGCTGTTGTAACTACAGAAAACTCATATGTTACAAGGCAGAAATAAAAGCAAAACTAATGGTACCAGTGAAGAATTTGGTAGCATCTGTCTCTGTTAGAGCCTGGCAAAGGCTTTCTCTGAACATTCCTATTAGACTTCCCTTTATATTGCATGGGCCATAAATAGGTTGAATAATGATCCGAAGTGTCAGGGATGTCGAGAAAAAACTATATTTCCTGAGGATTTCTACATTAATTTTGAACAAAACCCAAGTTCAATAAGCTTGGACACAACAATTTGTGTATTCTATTTGTTTGTGATTAATTCCAAAGACCATGTCTTCTGTTTTTCCAACAGAAATTTGCATCTATTTTACGTACTTTAAAAGTCTGCAAATTCAAAGAGTGTTTCAGTTGAACTTGTACAATATCTCTGATGTTTATGCATGCAGAGAAATGTTTCTTATTTTTGAAAGTTTCAACATGCTGGCTTAAGGAAAATTACTATGTGAAGCAAATTGGAGTAGGGTTATCTCCTTCCCAAACTGCCACCAATTGGTTTGGAAATAAATTCTACCAGGTTATAGCACTTAACAACACAATACTTCTAATTTCTAAAGGCATACTAAAACTTTAATATTCACATACATATAAAAACATATAAATCAGATGGTTGCCTATAATTTCAATAGATTCTGCTGTCTAAATTTTTTTGTTGACAATACAAAAGGCTAATTTTATTTTGCACTGAGAAAAATCATCTAAAATTTTGGAACCACTTATAATTTTCTATATTTATAACCATATCAAGATAATTATTTTTGTTTCACCAGTGAACTGAATATATCTAATACAACATATAAAGAATGTGCTAATTTAAGTGAATGAAAAATTATACTGTGCATGTTCATTAACTGCCATATTGTGAAATAGTACAATAAAATGCTACCATTTTATGTATGTATTGAGATTATAAAAAAATCAATTATCTTTTCCTAAGATTTGCTAAAAAAGCCAGAAAGATAAGTCAATTATGTACGTGGTTCAAAGGTATTTTTTGCCACTTCATTGTTTTTTTCTAAGATTAGCCTATATTCTGATACATTTGGGAAATAGCAAACCTAGATTATATTATAGAGAACTCACAAAGTCAGTCACTGGTTTATTGTTGTACAATTTTTAAAAGGAACAATTTTAAAACAGACCATTTTACTCTAACAGAAGACTAATTTAGAAGCTGAATCATCATAATTATCGGTGTATAAAAATTTCAAATGTCTCAGTTTGGAATTCAAGGTTAGTTAGTGCCTGGGCCCTCAGAGCTTTTCAGTTATTATTTTTTTTTAATGTCCTCAGTTTCCGTTCTGTAGTCAAAATTACTTTAGTCAGAGTACTATATTCTCATGCTTATTAGTTTCTTTACATTTTTACCTATATGCTTAGTTCCAGATCCTTAAAAATAATTATCTCAGTTTATAAACACAATATTTTGTAGGAACTTTTAAAAGCCAAGGAAATGTTTCTAACCTCTACATGCCACCTTTATTACAAATTGTCTTTCTTTTTAACTACCTTATTTTGTTCTACGCTTGCCATCCTTTGTTCAGTCTCTACATTTTCTAGCCATCCTGGAAAACCAGGACATTGGATGGTCTGCTTAAATTTTTTCTAGGCTTCCCATCCCCATGATAAATGCACACACACAAAAATATTCTGTTTACTTTTAACCATCCTTACGACACACATTTCTCCACCAGGGATAATGTATTTGTTACATAATAATTTCCTTTGCTATTACAGTTTCATATTTGACTTAAGGATTTCATAACATTATAGTTATAGGCACAGAATATTTTCTTGCTCAGCCTTGTACTACATATAATTTCATTCTCACAAAATGAACTCATGGTGCCTCCTTTGGAATAACATTATGTAGCAGTAATCGTACAGCAATGTGGCAGGCTTCTTTTACAAAATTACGAATAGGTAATAAAAATTTCAGATAAAATATGTAAATTTACATTCACAACCATTAAATCCATAACATAGAGACAAGTGTGCAATTAATTACTTTATGGTATTACTGCAAATAAGTTAATAACTGGCTGGGTGCTATGGCTCACTCCTGTAATCTCAGCATGTTGGGAAGCTGAGTCAGGCAGATTGTTTCAGCCCAGGAGTGAGACCAGCCTGGGCACCATAATGAGATTCTGTCTTACAAAAACATTCTAAAAAAAATTAGTCAGATGTGGTAGGTTCATACCTGTGGTCCTAGTTACTGGGGAGGCTAAGTCAGGAATATCTGTTGATCTCAGGCGTTCAAGGCCATGGTGAGCTTTAATTGCACCACTGCATTCCAGCCTGGGTGATACAGCAAACCTGTATGTCAAAAATTACATATATATAATTTTTATTTTATACATATATATATATATACACACACATACACACATATATGATTATATACTGTTCCAATATCTAGTAACTGCTTTCTTCAGAGAGACTGCATATGGCTGTTCACATTATTGAATTCTAATGCATTTTAGCCTAACCTTAATTAGGCCATTTAACAAGAACAATCTTTTACTCTCCTTATCTCTCCTCAAAATTTCCTCCTGTCTCTCTCAACCAGGTTGTTATCATCCTGGTATTTAACCACCCCTATCTAAATCTGTCTCTACTTTGCCAGCTCCCCAGTTTTTTTTTTAATAGTTTCTCAAGAACTTGGTCCTGTTCCTCCAGTTCTCAGACCCTGAAAATAAGAAGCTGCAGAAACTCAGTTGTCCTCTTCTCAATAAGTTAATTTTAAGCCTTGGTCTTGATCTGACTTATTTGTTATAATAAAGAACTTCCCTGACCCATGCCCATACAGAGAGAAATTTTTTACATAATTCAGATTTGTCTTAGAGTCATGTTCTTCTAAGCTTTCAGACATTCACCAGTTAGCTCAATTCTTGTGTGTTCCACAGATGCCTCTTTATAGTTTGAAGAGACCAATGGATAAGAATCAACAGACTTACTTAAATAAAAATACACTAAGGCCTATCACAGAACTGAGAAGACTAGAAAAAAAAAACTTAGATTCCATCCTTAGAGACTTCCCATAAAAAATAGACTGGTTAAATTGTCAAAACTGTAAACAACAAAGAAATGAATTAGTCACTAATTATAGGCACCACTTAGAAAACATCTGGAAGAATTAATCAGGCCTAATGCTAGATAATCCTAAATGACCTGGATGCTCTGCTTAGTTACCAGCTTTATTAGTGGGTTCTATGCAGAATTATGAGGCTATTATATCATATCCATTGCCAAAATGTCATTCACTCTGAAATCCATGCTTTAGCACAACATCATGAAGATGTAGGATGGGCTTATAAAATTAAAATTAAATCATAAAAGCTCATGACTCTTCAACTTAAATAAAAGGAAAATCATCTCAAATCCATAGAGCCATCCTCAATTACACTAAAGTATTTAACTTCAAACACAGGAGTTTCAATATCTCCCTCCCAAGGAGATCTGCCCTTCCCTGCCCCAAGATACTCTTAATACTATAGGGGGAATGATAAGTTCAATCAATGGGAATCTTCCCATTTCTGGTAGACACCAGAGCTACCTACTCCAACCTGAACACCTCAAAATTACCCATGGTAATTCTTTGAAGAACACAAACCACCTCTCTGTTGAGGTAAGATATATTACCCCTTTGTTGGCTCCTTTTGTATTTCTGGGACTCCATAATTCCTAGCATAGCTTTTTATTAATCCAGAATAATTATTAATCTATTGGCAGAAATTTATTTTCTAGTTAAATTGTTAATATTTCATGTTCACCTGAGGGACTAACCTTTGAAATGTCAGTCTTTTCTTCCACTGATCTTTGCCCTCTATTGTCTCTGATAGAACACTCCAGTTTTCTCACACTTATAACTCCCCAAACACTTGACAATGACAATCTCCAAATTCTAAATATGACCATTCACATACTTGATTTAGTTTGTAGTATAGGGATAACAGCAGCAGGGCACGTTTAGGAAGCAGGGTCCTTAGAGCTGGATGTAAACCTCACTTTGGCGTCTCAGTCTAACAAGGTACACTAAAACCTGGGGCAATTAAAGGTTTCAGACTTAGCATTCAATAGTTGCTTGACAAGGGGCTCCTTATTTCTACCTCCAGCCCATGTAACACATAATTTTAGCTGTAAAATATCCTAATGGAAAGAGTTTCTAATTGGATCAAGATTTGTGGGCCATAAATAAAATTTAAAAAATCAAGGTTTCCTTTTGTCCCAAACCCTAATACTCTTCTTGCTTCCATACCCTCTAACACCATGTTATTTATATTTGTTGACTTGTTCTATTGCTTTCTTCATTATAACGTGTTGCCCTAATTCCTAATACCTATTTGCCTTTCCATGGAAAATTCAAGAATATGATTACACAGTCGCATCCTGGGGATTTACAGAAGCCCCCATTTATTTTGCCCAGTCAGTAAATAAAAATCAAAAGAAGGTGGGCTTACATTGCAATTCAACCCTCATCCAATATGTTGTTTTCATCTTTCTTTGATTTACATGATTCAAGAATTTTTAGAAGACACACAGTACTTATTTAAAAATATTAGAACAGAAGTAATATAAGTTCTCAATATATAAAGTTCAATTCATGACCCCCTACTATTTAGGCCTGAGGGAAAAATCTTATTCCCAGATCTTATCAATACTATTCTTAATTATTCCCTGCCTCAAACCAAGAGTCAGCTTCAGGGATTTCTAAGACTAATTATCTATTGTGGAATGTGGATTATTAACTTCTTCTGCTATATTATCCCATTTATATTCATAACAAATTAGATTGTATCTAAACTTCTGCAATGGGAATCACTCTATAAAATTTTTTTATTTCTAAAAATATTTTTTCCTCCACCCTTACTTTGGAATTCCCTAATTACTCCTCGCCCTCCTCCCTCATTTTTCATGAAAGAAAATGACATACCTTAGGTTTCCTATCTGAAAAATGCAACAGAAACTACAGGCTCATGGGATATTTTAGCTTTATCATACATCCTGTATCTCAAGCTTGTACATGATCAGTGGTAGGAAGAGCAGAAATAATTGAAGCCATAGTTGACCTTTGCTAGTTCTTACCCTGAACATCATATATCTCATGCAATTTAGACTCTTCTAACTCATATCACTCTAAATATTTGGCTTCTCAGCTCACCTCTAATTAACTCTTATGCTTTTTCCTTCTCCCAT
This sequence comes from Homo sapiens, assembly GCF_000001405.40. Classification (NCBI taxonomy): domain Eukaryota; kingdom Metazoa; phylum Chordata; class Mammalia; order Primates; family Hominidae; genus Homo; species Homo sapiens. The sequence goes on from NC_000009.12 coordinate 30,449,692, forward strand.
CACTGTTTATTGCTGTCAACTCAATCCTATCACGATCCTCCTTTTCCCAACTGAAGTAAACACACGATTGTATTACAGCCACTCAAGCCTCAACCTTCCTCTTCCCTGAACATTGAGAATGCCCTTGCGAATCCAGACCTTACCCTTTTTTGTTGATGGTTCATGTCTCTGCACCTTTAGGAGGAAATATCAAGGTACAATATCCCATTATAGATTTGTAAACCCCATACAATATATGCCACTATGTTTCAGAGTCATCTCAAATCACTGAATTTGTGTCTCCCACAAGAGCTATTTCTTTGACTGAAGAAAAAGAGTTATCATTTACATAGCAAGTATGTATGATTTTTTAGGTAGTACCTGAGTGTGGCATGTTATTGAAAACAAAAAGATTTTTGACCATAGAGGGGATGTGTTGGTTAATATTGTCAACTAGATTGGATTGAAGGATGCAAGGTATTGTTCCTGGGTGTTTCTGTGAGAGTGTTGCCAAAGGAGATTAACATTTGAGTCAGTGGACTAGGAGAGTCAGATCTCCCCTCAATCCTGGTGGGCACCATCTAGTCAACTGCCAGTGTGGCTACGATAAAAGCAGGCAGAGGAACATGGAAAGACTAGACTGGTGAAATCTTCTGGCCTCCATCTTTGTCCCGTGCTAGATGCTCCCTACCCTTGAACATCGGACACCAAGTTCTTCAGCTTTTGGACACTTGGACTTGCACCGGTGGTTTGCCAGTGGCTCACGGGCCTTCGGCTATGGACTGAAGGCTGCAGTGTCCGTTTCCCTGCTTTTGAGGTTTTGGGACTCAAACTGGCTTTCTTGCTCCTCAGCTTTCAGACTGCCTATTGTGGGACTTCACCTTTGTGTGGGCCAATATTCATTAAAAAAACTTTCTTTCATATATACATCTATCTTATTAGTCCTGTCCCTCTAGAGAACAATAACTAATGCAAGGAGCATCAATTAAAAATGAAAAACATGTGTCCGAAATATTAGAAGTTCTGTTATAGCCAAGAAAGGTGGCCATTCTCAAGGTAGAAACACACATGGGTGCCAATAGTCCTAAAATAAAAGGAAACTCACTAATTGATCAATATGCTTAGGTGGGTATCTCAGAAAGCTGTTCCATTCTCAGTCCAATCAGTCAGGATTTTAAGTCTACTGTATTTACAATCTGACCCTTAATTGAGGAATTTAAAATCTTCCAATTTAAAGTCCATGAACAAAATGGCCAAGTTGTATATTTTAACCACCCGGTTAGACTTAGAAGACATTCAACTGACCATGTGGCTCCCCCGCCCTAGATTTAGTCTTTGACATTTACAAGATCACTTACCATGGAAGGGAGAAACTAAATAAACTCCTCTGCCAACATTGGTGGGCAAATTTCACTCTCTATCTGGTGCTGTCTTTGTACCCCATCTGTTGAAAACATAACCCTAGTGAAGATGTAAAGACAAGAAAGGAAGCTAAATCTATTAGCAAGACATTTTCTTAACCGGTAATTAGATTTTAGCCATTTATCTAAATATCATGGATATCAATATTTTCTTAAGTATCTTCTGCATGTCCTCTCACTGCCTTGAAGCTTCCCATTGTAAAAGTTTCATTGCCATACTATTGCTAAACCTTTGTTAGAAAATGCATTCTCCACATGGGAAATTCCACTGGCTCTTTCAAGTGACAGAGAGACTAATTTCAAAAGTAAAGTAATACAACTAAGTTAAAGAATTATCCATTTATCTCAAAAATTGCACTATCTTTATCCTCAGTCATCTAGAGTGATAGAAAGACCTAATGGACTATTAGAATTAAATATGACTAAACTTTAAAAGAATTCATTTTCTCATTGCTGTTACCCCTGAATTCCCTCGAGTCCACTCCTGCTGGGTCATTTCAACTGTCTACACATGAAGTAATAACTGGACAACTGGACAGTCCATAAGAACTCCCTATGCTGCCTGAACTCTCAAAGATTCTAACCTAGTCAACCCAGACATTCTAAAATACTGCAAAAGATATATTAATTATACCCATCATTAATCTCAGCAGGTTGGGTTGATGATTTTCCTCCCATCTCTCATCCAAACCACTCCACAATCAAGAAATGAAGATTTAGTATTCTGAAGAGAGCATCACTAGAAAGCTAATGTTAAACTCTGCAGGAAGGACATTTACAACATTCTTCTTATCACTAGCATGGTTGCCAAACATCAGGGGATCTAACTTTGCACTCATACTACTCAACTAAAAAGATACAAAAGCTAGTATGAATGGAAGTCCATCCCAATGGGAGACCTAAAACTAAGACTGTCTCTCAGGAGCTCCCAGAATCAGATAGTGTCATAAGTATACAGCTTTTCCAGTAATTTCAAAACAAGTAGACATCATGAGGAGGAGGTAATTTTCCACTTTATATGTGAGAACAACACACCCTAGGATTCCCTTGCTTATTTCCTATTTTCAGAATTGTATTTGTCCTTTACTTCGTCCTTCTTCTTTATCCCCTTCAGTGACAACTTTGTTGTCTGCATACTTCTCCTCATTGTAAACACAGCCTTCCATAAGGAGTCTTACTTTGTGTTACCTTCTTCTCCACCTTAGTGAAGCTGTTTGCCCTATAATGACTCCCCATTATTCCAAGGATCCCCAATATATCTTATTCCCTCACTCAACTCATGGCACAATCTTATAGTCCTATTTCTAATTGCTGGTTATGTACTCTTTTTCCTCTGGAAGCCTCTAGTTTCCCCCAAATTCCTAAACTTGCCTTGATTCAAGGGCATCCTTTGTGTTAGCACAGGGAACTTTATCGTCTCCCTCTAGATTTGAAAAGGAACACCCTTCAACATTAATACTTTTTAAAAGGCCAACATTTGTTTCTACCTGAACATAAACAAGGTTCTTTTCATCAGTGTATGTATTTGCAATTGCACCTGATTTCCCACCAACACAAATATCTACATTATTATAGGAGACAAGAATACAGATTCCTCGTCTTATTATATGCATGTAATAGACTCAGATAACCATAAGTTTAATTTTACCTGGCACAGTTAGGACTGTCTTACAAAAAAATAATAAAACAAAAACAAAAAACTGGGAACTCTTATCTTTTGAACTTTACAGGACAACGACTCCATCAAAAGAGCTCGTAAACCCCAAAGAGCAATCTACTGGACATTTATACACAGGAATCCTGCATAGCCCTGTCTTAGTACATTTGGGCCTGTACAACTGAATACCATAGACTCAGTGTCTTAAACAGCAAACAGTCTTTTTCACAGTTTTGGAGGCAGACATGTTCAAGATCAAGTTGCCAAGAGATTCACCGTCTGCTGAGAGCCCACTTCCTGATTCATAGTCAAGGCCATCTTCTTCTGTTCTCATGTGGCAGAGGAACAAAAGAGCTTTCTGGGAGCATTTAAAGGCATGTAAAGGGGCACTAATAACATTTGTGTGCACTCAACCCTCATTACCTAATCAGCTGCTAAAGACTCCATCTCCAAATACCATCACATTGAGGATTAGCTTTTAACATATGAATTTTAAGGATACATAAATATTTTCTCTATAGAATCCCTAATGAGACATATTTTATTTGAAACAAACACATCCATCACTCCTTGCCAGTTGGACTGGATCCTGTGATCTGGCTAATCTAAGTAGGCTTTATTAAACCTTTAAAAGACACTTTTTTTTTCTGATCTTAACTACTTTATTATTTCTGAGCCAAGTTTTTCAGGCACTAGACGATCCAAAAGGTCTGCAAAATGTTTTACAAGTGCAAGACTAGGTGCAAAATCTTAGCCCTATAAGGAGGTCCTGGTTTTCATTTTCCATCAAATTGTCAGAAAGCTTTAGAAGAAAAATCTAAGAGATTGAGAGTAGACCTAAAAGGCTAGCTACCATAGTAGTTCTTGTACGGGCAACTTTCATGACTGCTATATGACCAATCAGTAAGTTCACTGAAATTCCCACAATTTCCATGCTATTCTCTGGAAAACAAGCAGAACTACAGGAATTCTCACTGAAACTATAAACATCATTGCCAGAGAAGTACAGAAACTTTAGCAAGTGGTCCTCTGCAATTATCTAACATTGGACATGATCTAGCTTTTCAAGAGGATATTTATGCAGTGGTCAGAAGTGACTACTGTGCATATGTTCCCTGAAACCTGTTTAATGTTTATGCCTTCACCAAAAATATTCAGACAACAAACTGAAATATTTGTCAGATTGCCATTCTCATCCTCATCCTGCCATCTAAGGACACTTCAGGCCCAATGTCCCTTCAAATCTCAAATCTTGGTTTTCTTCCCCTGTTCAAATGTCAATAATTATTCTTTTAATTTTATTTCATTTCATTATTTTTCTATTTATTATAGGCCTCTCATCTAATGCCTAGCCAAGAAGATCCTCCAGCAGCTGTCAGTACAACAACATACTTTACAAATTGCAAACCTAGTCCTCAAAGTTAACAAGAACATGAAGGCCAACCCAACCCTGAAAATCATTTTGCAAACCTTAACTTCACAATAAGTCTGATTCCATTCCTAATCAATTTTAAGGACAAACTTTGTTTGTAGTAAACAACAGAGGATGGGGTGTGTGCTGATCCCAAATCTGACCAGTTGCTCACAATTACCCATAACTTATTCATTGCTTTGACTTGATCAAATTTTATTCAATCATGTTTCCTCCTCTAGGGCCTCTAAACTTTGGGTCACTACTCAAGATTGAAAAAGCCCTAAAGTACAGAATAACCCTTTAACACTTTATTCCAAGAATGACCAGATTGCTGAGAGAAACGTTTTTCTGTTGAAGCATTCTGCTCAGCCCACTGCCTGCCCTTCTCCCACACAAAGCTTTTAGCAGCCCTGCTGACGTTTCTCTATAAAAGAAAAATCTTTCTCTGTTTGATTTTTAGACACTTGTAGATTCAGAGTTTCGAGCATTCTGCCTTCTGCAATAGTCTTTTTGAATAAAGTTAATCTATATCTGGTTTTCTTTTTAATTGATACCAGTGAGCTTAGAAGAAGACCTACACACCTCAGATGTTGATTACAGCCTTTGAGACATTGATCACAGACCTGGTTAGTCTCCTGACCCATGGAAATGTGAGGTAATAAATATGTGTTGTTTAATCCACTAAGCTTGTAGTGATTTGTTACTCAGCTATAGAAAACCAATAAATGTGAAAATGCATAATGTGAATTTGAGTCCCAGCAGAGATTAGAACTTAAAACATGGTTTTTAATAAAAGAAGTATATTAAACACTTTTAATACATTCCATCCTAATTGTTTTCTCTGTATTTCACTTGGTGTTAACTAGAAATTTTCTTTAATTTCATTTTATGTAGTTAATGCAACAATCTATACTGACTCAAATCATATTTTGTATTGAAAAACTATTTATTTCATGATAAACTCTCTGGAAGATGCCTCAGGAGGATAACTATTCATGATCAAGACATTTCCTATTCAAGCCTATAAGAAAAATATTATATTTTTAAATGATATCATATACAATATTTGAATAGAGTGATTTTCCCATAGTGCATTACATCTACAAATTAAAAAATATTATATTTGCTGGCCAATAATATTCAGTTAAAGTAAATATCAGTAGACATGTTTTCCACTTTATTTTCATTACAGAGCCATTTCTGGCATAATAGAAAATAGAGGCAGAACATGGTAGAAAAGAGAATGTTTATTCTGAAATGTGAGGACGTAGCACAAAGATGGATTTGACAGTTAGTAGAGTAAATAATTTTGTGAAATAATAAAGGTACATTTTAGGGATTTGATTTTGATTTTGTAATAAGTAGATAATTATTTTCCTCTGCCTTGGAGTAAATGGCTCTTATGTGGCATTTTTTTTTTAGTTGTAAAGTAAAAACAAATGTAACCTGTAACCAATTATTAATAAGGATGTCGAAAAATTTTCATTCAAATAAAATAACTTCCTACCTTAGAATTTCATGGAACACAGACATGTTAGTTTAAAAGTTTGCTCTAATTTAGCAAAAATGCTCAATATGCATATGCAAACTAAGTAAGTAGATTGTAACAGCATGCAGCTATTTTCTGATAATAATTTTAAAAATTAAAGGCATAGATTTAGATTTAATTCAATAGTACTACCACCCAGAAAAGGTGCTGATTTACCCAAGCAGAATCTCAAAGAGGCTCTGGATTTAAAAACGGGAAGTTCAACAGAGGGAAGGAATGAGCAAAGAAAGGCAGGTAGAATGAAAAAGGAAGCAATAAGTGGAAATCACTATATGAGTCAACTCTGCCACTTTCCCTGTCCCTTCCTCATCCTAGAATAGACTCGAAATTAGGTGAATTGATCTATCCAGTAAATGTGGATTTGTACCACATTTGTTGTTATTTAGGGTCACCCAGCACAAATGTTCTAGGCCTACAGCTATGCTGAAAAGAGAAAATCCTGCTCATGTGCACAGAACTTCCAGTCTATTTGAAAGAAAAAGAAAACAAAGTATTCCATGGTGTACATGTGCCACATTTTCTTAATCCAGTCTATCATTGTTGGACATTTGGATTGGTTCCCAGTCTTTGCTATTGTGAATAGTGCCACAATAAATATACGTGTGCATGTGTCTTTATAGCAGCATGATTTATAATCCTTTGGGTATATACCCAGTAATGGGATGGCTGGGTCAAATGGTATTTCTAGTTCTAGATCCCTGAGGAATCCCCACACTGACTTCCACAATGGTTGAACTAGTTTACAGTCCCACCAACAGTGTAAAAGTGTTCCTATTTCTCCACATCCTCTCCAGCACCTGTTGTTTCCTGACTTTTTAATGATTGCCATTCTAACTGGTGTGAGATGATATCTCATTGCGGTTTTGATTTGCATTTCTCTGATGGCCAGTGATGGTGAGCATTTTTTCATGTGTTTTTTGGCTGCATAAATGTCTTCTTTTGAGAAGTGTCTGTTCATGTCCTTTGCCCACTTTTTGATGGGGTTCTTTGTTTTTTTCTTGTAAATTTGTTTGTAGGGACATGGATGAAATTGGAAATCATCATTCTCAGTAAACTATCGCAAGGACAAAAAACCAAACACCGCATGTTCTCACTCATAGGTGGGAATTGAACAATGAGAACATATGGTCACAGGAAGGGGAACATCACATTCTGGGGACTGTTGTGGGGTGGGGGGAGGGGGGAGGGATAGCATTAGGAGATATACCTAATACTAAATGACGAGTTAATGGGTGCAGCACACCAGCATGGCACATGTATACATATGTAACTAACCTGCACATTGTGCACATGTACCCTAAAACTTAAAGTATAATAATAATAAAAGAAAAAAAAAGAAAGAAAAAAATAAAAAGCACTGAAACAATTTAGGAGAAAAGTGAAAAAATTTTTAATTGCTACTCTCTGAAGCATTTGGGAAGAAAATATATCATCTGCTGGAAAATGAAGCAATAGATAAATACACTTTTTTTTCTTTTTTGTGACGGAGTCTCGCACCGTCACCCAGGCTGGAGTGCAGTGGCGCGATCTCGGCTCACTGCAAGCTCCGCCTCTCGGGTTCACGCCATTCTCCTGCCTCAGCCTCCCGAGTAGCTGGGACTACAGGCGCTGGCCACAACGCCAGGCTAATTTTGCTTTTGTATTTTTAGTAGAGACGGGGTTTCACCATGTTAGCCAGGATGGTCTCAATCTCCTGACCTCGTGATTCGCCCGCCTGGGCCGGCCTCCCAACGTGCTGGGATTACAGGCGTGAGGGACTGCGCCAGCCAAGAAATACACGTTTTGATATTACAATATAAATGCCAAAAGAAAAATTTCATTATAATATTTGTAAAATAAAGTTGTAAAAATCTCAGGGTGTAAAACAAAAAGCAAAAAAACAAAGGAAAACACGAACAGAATGTTTAGAGACAGAAAATTTGTGCACATAAAAATTAGGAGGGCAGTCAAATAAGAAAGACAAGAAAGAAAAGACACAATGTGAGTTCCAAGATACAATACCCACCCTGAAAATGTAGAATATAACGTTGGAAAAACCCTTCTAGACACTTGCTTAGGAAAAGATTTCATGACCAAGAACCCAAAAGCAAATGCAACCAAGACAAAGATAAATAGATGGCACTTAAACTACAAAGCTTCTGCACAGCAGAAGAAACAATCAGCATAATAACCAGAGTGGGAGAAAATCTTCACAATCTATACATATGACTAAGGACTAATATCCAGGATTTGCAAGGAACTCAAACAAATCAGCAAGAAAAATACAAACAATTCCCATCAATAAGTGGGCTAAGGACATGAGTAGACAATTTTCAAAAGAAGATATACAAATGGCCAACAACCATATGAAAAAACAGTCAACATCACTAATGATCATATAAATGCAAATCAAAACCATAATGCGGTAACACCTTACTCCTGCATAAGTGGCCATAATAGAAAAATTACAAATGTTGGTGTGGATGTGGTGAAACAGGAACACTTTTACACTGCTGGTGGGAATGTAAACTAGTACAGCCATTATGGAAAACGGTGTGGAGATTTCTTAAAGAACTAAAAGTAGATCTACCATTTGATCCAGCAATCCCACTACTGAGTGTGTATCCAGAAGACAAGAAGACATTATATGAAAATGATAGTTGCACATGCAAGTTTATAGCAGCACAATTCACAACTGCAAAAATACGGAACCAGCCCAAATGCCCAACAATCAATGAGTAGATAAAGAAATTGTGGCATATATACATTCACCAACACAAACACTGCCACACATATATGTGTGTATATATATATACACACACTGTGGAATACTACTCAGCCATAAAAAGGAACAAAATGATGGCATTTGCAGCAACCTGAATGGAATTAGAGACCGTTATTCTAAATGAAGTAACTCAAGAAGGGAAAACCGAACACTGCATGTTCTCACTCATAAGTGGGAGCTAAGCTATGGGGATGTAAAGGCATAAGAATGATACAATGGACTTTGAGGAATTGGGGGAAAGGGTGGGAGATGGGTGAGGGGGTAAAAAAAACTATACATTGGGTACAGTGTACACTGCTTGGGTGATGGGTGCACCAAAATCTCAGAAGTCACCAGTAAAGAACTTACTTATATAACCAAACACCACCTGTTTCTCAAAAACCTATTGAGATAAAAAAAATTTAAAAAATTAATAAAAGTTCTACCTAAAAGCCAGAAAAGAGGAACAGATGAACAAGCAAAAATGAAACTAAGAGAACATAAACAAGAAGGTAGATTTAAAGCAAACATATAAAAAACTACCATAAGCATAAATATTCTAAAAACTCCAGTTAAAAAGGCAAAAATTGTCAGTCTAGATAAAAAAGTAATGATATCTACAAAAAGCAAACAACCATACACACAAAATACCTGTATATGTAACTTCATTAGTTTTGCATTATGTGTTTTAAATTAATACGATTGTTTAAAACAATACAATTGTCTCACAATTTCTATGGGTCAGGAATAAGGAAGGGCACAGCACAGCTGGGTCTTCTCAGCATCTTACAAAGCTGCAATTAAGGCGTCAGTCAGTCAGTCAGTGTGTTCTTATCTATGGGCCTGACTTAGGGATAATCTGCTTCCAAGCTTCTGATTCTTGGCAGAATTCCTCTAATTATGGATGTAGGACCGAAGTTTCTGTTTTCTTGCTGGCTCTCAGATACATTCCAGGGGCTTTCTCATATGCCCTCTCACAACAAGGCAGCTTATTTCCTCAGTGACAACAAGGGATCTCTCCCTCTTCAGCCAACTAAAATGGAGACTTACATAGTATAACCTAATAAAGATATTAACATCCTACCACCTATTTCATTAATTAGAAGCAAGTTGCAGGTTCTGCTCATACTCAAGAAAAGGAAACTACATAATGATATGACTCATTCAGGGTCACCATAGAGTGTGTCCACTAGAGACATCACAATGCTAAATAAAAGGAAAACAATACACCACATAAACACTAATCAGAAAAGTTGACATAGCTATATTAACATCAGACAAGTTAGATATTGATATAAACATTACAGTCAAATATAAAGAAGGGCATTCATAAGGACAAAGGGGGGTAAGTCATCAAAAGGATATCACAATCCTAAATACCTATGAACATAACAACAGAGCCGTCATAGTCAATAAAATAAAATGGATAGAACTAAAGGGAGAAATAACATATTTGCAATTACAGTTTGCTTTTCCACATTCATTCTTTCAGTAATTGAAAACTTGGAAAATCATTGAGGATATACGAAACTTGATCAATATTATGAACCAAATTGACCTAATTGTCAGTTATAGAAAACACTACATCAAAACAGCAGAATACACATTATTTACAAGGCACAGAGAATGTTTAAAAAGATAAATCCAGTTCTGAACCGTAAAATAAAAATTTAAAAAGTTTAAGACCACATAAAATGTTATCTGACCAAAGCAGAAGAAAAAGGACACCATCTAGAAGATCTACAAATATTAGCCAACTAAACAATACACTTCTAAACACCCTATGGCCCAAAGAAGAAATGGCAATTAGGAAGTATTTTTAAGTGAATGAAATGAAAATGTAATATATTAAAATCTGCAACATAAAACTAAATACTTGGAAAAATGTATAAGAATAATTGCTTATAGGCTGGGCACGGTGGCTCATGCCTGTAATCTCAGCACTTTGGGATGCCGAGGCAGGCGAATCACAAGGTCAGGAGTTCAAGACCAGCCTGGCCAACGTGGTGAAACCCCATCTCTACTAAAGATACAAGAAATTAGCCGGGCATGGTGGCGCGTGCCTGTAATCCCAGCTACTAGGCAGGCTGAGGCAGGAGAATCGCCTGAACCCAGGAGCTGGAGGTTGCAGTGCACCGAGATCCCGCCATTGCACTCCAGCCTGGGCGACAGGGAAAGACTCCCTCTCAAAACAACAACAACAACAATAAAAAGAAGCTTATAATAGGAGAAATATCTTAAATTAAGACCTAAATTTCTATCATTAATAAAGTAAACAAAGAAGAGCATATTGAACCCAAAGTCAGCAAAATTGTGCATTAATATAGGAGTAGATGCTCCCTACAAAATCAAAAAACTTACAAACCAGAAAAGAAAAAAAAAATGTAAACAAAAGTGAGTTTTTATGATGTTAATAAAATTTATTAAACATGAAACAAATTGATGAGAGGGAGAAACAAAGGTAGGGAGAAAAAAGTAGAAGCACAACATCACCATATGGGCAATGAAAGAACAGGCACCAGTAAAGATATTACAGAGATTGTAAGAAATAAATAGAAATATTACAAACATTTTATAGTTGTAAATTTGACAAACTAGATGAAATATATACATTCTGTGATAACACATAATATAGAAGTTTACTCAAGAAGAAATACATAATCTGAATGACAACATAATTTTAAGAAAATGGAATAGTTAGTTTAAAAACCATCACACAAAGAAAATATTCATCTTAAATGCCTTGGTGGTGAATTCTACCGTACATTTATATATGAAATAAATAATGCAACTTTATTTAAAGTCATCCAAAAACACAACAGGAGAAAACACATCCTAATTCATCTTAGGAGGCCCACATTGCCCTGATACCAAAGACGGATAAAGAAAGAAAACTATAGTCCAACATTTCACATGAACAAAGATGCGAAAACTCTGAAACACATAATGGTAAATTTGAATTCAGCATTACAGAAAAATATATTATGAACAAGTAGAGTTTATCCTATTAATAGAAAATTTACTTAACATTTGAAAATTAAGCAACATAATTCAAAAATTTAACATACTTAAAATTATAATCATCTCAATAGATGCAATAAATTCATTCGACAATGTTTAACACCAAGCCATAATGAATGTTCAGACAAATGCAAAGAGTTTACATAAAATGAAACAAAGCTTTCTTTTTTTCATAAACTACATGATCATCTAGGTGTAAAAGCTTACAAAACACTTGCTTGAATTAATAAGTATAGCAAGGTTTCAGGATAGAATATCAATAAAAAATAGTTTCTATTTTACTGACAATGAGCAATTGGAAATGAAATTGAAACATACACACCACTTAAACTAGTGCCAAAAGTTTGAAGTGCTTAGTGATTAATTTAACAATATATTTGCACGATTGGTATACTAAAACTACAAAACATGTTTAAATTAAATAAACATGACTTAATGTGCATTGATTGGAAAATTCAGTATAGTTAATATATCAGTTCTGAAGTTGACCTGTAGTTTAATAAAACCAATCAGAATCCCTAACCCTTTTAGGAAGAAATTTACTCAACTATCTCTATGGAAATGTAAAGTACCTAAAATGATAATGATTTTTTTTAAAATAACAATTGTGAATTCACTCTTTCTGATTTCAAGCTTTACTCTAAAGCTACATTGATCAAGACAGTGTGGATTGTTTCCATATCTTGGCTATTGTGAATAATGCTATGCTAAACATGGAAGTGCAGGTATCTGTTCAAGTTACTAATTTGAAATCTTCTCAATATGTATCCAGAGGTGGGATTGTTGGATCATATGGTAGTTCCATTTTTAACTTTTTGAAGAACCTGCATACTGGTTTCAATAGTGGCTGCACCATTCTCCATTTCCACCAAAGGTGTGTACAAAAGTTTACATTTCACCACATCTCTGCACCAACATGTTACTTTTTTTTCTTTAAGATAATAACCACCATGCATGGTGGCTCATGCCTTTAATCCTAGCACTTTGGGAGGCCAAGGCCAGTGGATCGCTTGAGCCCAGGAGTTTGAGACCAGCCTGAGCAACATGAAGAAACCCTATCTTTACACAAAAATATAAAAATTAGCTGGGCATGGTGGCAAACTCCCGTAGTCCTGCTACTCAGGAGGCTGAGGTGGTAGGAGGATAACCTGAGCCCAGGAGGTTGAGGCTGTGGTGAGCCATGATTGTTCCACTAGACCCAGACTGGGAGATAGTGAGACCCTGTCTCAAAAACGAAAAATATTTAAGAAACTAGATAATAACCATCCTGACAGTTCTGAGGTGTTATCTCACTGTGGTTTTAATCTGCATTTCCTTGTTAGAAAAGTACCTTTTAAATTGAGCACCTTTTTTACAACTCAAATGTCCATTAAAAGATCAGTAAGTAAAGAAATTCTTGTAAATATATGCAATGGGATATTATTCAGGCTATAAAAAAAAAGGAAATCCTGTTATTTGCAACAACATGGGTGAACCTAGATAACATTATGCTAAGTGAGACAAGCCAGTCACAAAAGACAAATATTACATGAATCCATCCTTATGAAGTTTCCAAAATAGTCAAACTCATAGAAGCAGAGAATAAAGAATGGTGGTTGGCTGGGACTAGGAGGGAAAAATGGGGTATAAAGTCTACCTTATACAAAATGAGTATGTTCTAAAGATCTGATATAAAACATACTAGCTTTAGTTAGCAATATTGCATTGTGCACTTTAAAATATGTTCACAAGAAAGATCTCATGTTAAGTGTTCTTACACAAAAACAAGACAAACATAAAATCCTAAAATCCACGAAGAAAACAAGAAAATGTATGGAGGTGATAGATATGTTTAGTACCTTGGTTGTGATGATAGTATCACAAGTGTATGCATATGTCCAGATTTAGCAAGATGTATGTGTGACTTTTAACAAAAACAATATAAGTTGTTTCATTGAGAAATGAAGTTTTTGCATTGTGAACTTAAAGTAATTTAATACCATTCTAATATTTCTAATTCAATAAACATTTTTCTGAAATTTGTAAAAAAAAGTTATAGATTATTACACATTGCTAAGCATTCAAATTGGTTACTTACATGTTAATTTCTTTTCAAGTTAGTATTTTGTCTTTCAAAAATCTCAATATAGTTTTTCCCTCCAATAACTATTTCATGATTGTATTATCAGTACATAAAATAACATCTTTTCACCTATGCTTGTGATATAAGCATTGTTTCCCCAGAGATGACAGAAAACAAATTCAGATCCCAACATGGCTTCATCTTCCACTGCAGACTGTCCATGCTCTTACCAAATGTTTGCTGTATTTTGTTACATCATATCCACAGTTAGGCTTCCATTTAGGATTTAATTATGGTAAACATGTTCCCTATTTTCTCATTATTTTGCTATCAAGTATGATATTTATAAATAATAGTTTTAAAAGCAGTTAAAAATGCATAATCTGTCTTCTTATAGAGCATCCATCCTATTTGGGAGAGAGAGAGAATATAAATAGATACACACACACACACACACACACACACACACACACCATGCCAAATATCAAGAAGTTGTATGAAAGTGGAAATAATTTTGTATTTTTTTTTTGCCACAAATTCTGAAAGCAGACTGCCTAGTATTCCCCCATAGCCCCCAAATCCTGCATTTACTATCTGTGAGTCACTGGACACATTACTAAGCCTCTGTTTCTGTTTCTTCGTTTGTAAATCACATATAATAATATCTTTCTCAAAGTGGTTGTGAGTATTAAATAAATTTATATATATAAAACATTTGGAACAGTGCTTTACAGGTTAGTTATACTGCATTATCTGTTAGCTATAATTATAAAGAAAGGAAATAGAAACCCTAGAGGAGAATAGACAGTAACTTTGGGAAAAGCTATTTTATATAGGATGGCCTTGGAAAATCCATAAGCCAATGAGTGCATACTTTCATTGTTCAAAAATATCTATAATGAAATATTTTATATTTATTATCTTGCTAGATCCCATTTGTCTCATACAGTAGCAATTTGTCTCATTTTTAGTCTTAACGTTTGATTATCAGTTTGAACAATAAATTGT